>NC_000007.14:82506779-82809809 GCF_000001405.40 Homo sapiens | reverse complement strand
TTTAAAAGCTAAAAAAAATGACTCCCTAAAGTTTCTTTGACAAAGAACATGGAAAAAAAGCTTCCATATCAAGTGGACTTCTTGTTGAGAAATTTATGATTTGTATAAAACACAAAGCTTGATTTAAAAAGTGAAATTATCTACTAAATCATTCAGATGTTTTGATTGGTTAAAGGAAAGAAGTATTAATGTATTATTATTATTATTACTTATTCATTAAATATTGTTCAAACATGGTTCCGGGACAAGCTTTTAAGGAAGTTACCAAGGAGAAAACATAGGCTTTGCTTCCAATAACGACAGAGTATGTGCTACAAGAGTCCAGACATAGGAGAGGTCACTTCTGAATGGGAGAATGAGGAAAAATGCATGAAGCAGGTGATTTCTGAGCTAGGCCTTTACAGATAACTTTAATTTAGATACAAGAAAGTGATGGGATAAAAGAGAGCTTAGTAAAGTTGGAAAGAAAAAAGCCAAACCAAAGGGAGCCAGAGTGAATGGACTGAGAGGGCTTCCATGTAAAGTGTTTGAAGGAGAATTACAAGAGATATATTTGGAAAGACCAGACCAATAAAAAACTCTTTTGAGAGGCAAAATAAAGAATGTGGTGGAAATTATTAGATGTCTTGAAATTACCTAAGATCCAGCCTCAGATAATAAAGTCCTAAATACACTTTATTTGTTAAAAAAAAGTTTGCCTTTATGCAGATTTAGCTCAATTTAATAGAATTGATGTTTTATTTCTTGAAGTCTGTTTCAAGAGAAAGAAATGAGTAAATACATGTTTCAAGTATCTGGAAAAGATATATTAAAATACGGATTCTTAGAACCAGCTTATCAAAACCTCTCCATTTTTTGTTTTATCACATTTTATGATATGCAGATACAGCCCAGCAAGAAGAAAAGATCTGTTGTGTGTTTTAATTTAATTCATTTTTCAGAAACTAACCAAATGTGAGGCTATATATCTCTGCACTACACTTAGATACCAAGTTAAGAATACAGAATTTAATCCAGCACCGGATGTTTTGTTGTGATAACTCCAAATAACTAGATTCATTTGAATTATTCACCTAATTTCTAACTGCCTAAAATTTCCATAGACAGAACCTTAGATGTAATCATGTTTTGCAGAGATGTTAGACTGATTCCATCATAGGTAAATGTCCCCTGGATTTGGTTTTCTTTTTTAATATTTCTTATAAAATGTTATTTGTTTGCATTTAAAATATTGACAACACTTGCACAGGCTTTCAAAATGAGAATTCTATTCAAAGAGATTGGCAAGATGGAAAAAAAACCTGTCTTTTCTTAAATTTATTTCTAGCTTTGTTTCTTTCTTCTTATTATGCTATTTTATATTCTGTACACATTTCTCAACTTTTCCAGAAGAGGAATAGAACTAAAAATCGCATCAGGTAAAACCAAAGTTGACAAAACAAAGGATGGACGATTTTGAAACATAGATAATAAATCATTTTTATAATGTAGCTATTTTTGTTCATTGTGAGTTTGCTCTTGAATTAAAATTATTTTAATTTAATAAATATAAATTGATTGAATATTAGTGTCTAATAATTAAGGTTTATCTTTGAAAATAGTAAATTGTGATTTTCCAATTGATGAAATTAATGTCTTCCATTCAATGTCATACTAAAAATTATGAATTGGATTATAGAATCCCATCAAAAAGTATGACAGCTTTCTTTTGTTTATAATCAATTGACTAATCTGACTCATTATGTAGGTTATGCATTTTAATCTACTTTATACATGTCCATCATTTTACATCCTACTCACATTACCTTTACATTTTTAAAATTATTCTTTTAAGAAGTTTTTTTTAACACTAACTACACCATCTGGGTTTCTTCTACATAAAATAAAGAAAATATTCAGAAACATAACTATTCTGTTTCCACAAATCCAGTCCTGTGGGTTACTAGCAATTCCTTGATGACTGGTTGTTTAACAGCATTCAGTTCAATTAGTCAATTGTATATCAGATGTCTATAAGTTAGGAACACATTTTCCTAAATAGCCGTTTCTAACTTATACACATCTGATATACAATTGACTAACTATTAACAATTTCTTTCTTGTTCCCTATTCTCGGGAAGGGATCCTACTACCACTGGAATATATATAAAAATTCCTTGTGGCTTTAGAGAACCTGCTACCGACGAAATTGAAAAAGTGAAGAAATGGGGGAAAAGTTAAATCCTTTGCAAGACTTGATCCTAGCTACCCTGAGGGTGGATTTCCTGTCCTCAAATGGTTTCCCACACAATGTTTATGTGTTTCACTTCATGTGGTTATTATATTGGTTAAAATTCCACCAGATTAAGAATAATTGTGTTTTTATACATATCCTTAAGAAATATGTAGATATCTTAGGATCGTGAAATGATTATCAACTGTTCACCCATTAGTATAACTCTATCCAACTGGCTAATAAACTCCTAATGGGATAGGGACGCATTTATGAAGAAAAAAGACTCTAAGTAGAACTGTAGGTTTGAACACATCTAGATTTAGAAGAGAATAGAGTTAAATTCATTGTCAAAGACTATTTAAGCTCAAAGACAGTAAGAAACAGCTGTTGACAGTAAAGCCCTTGAGAAGAGTGGGGATACCTTGAGAAGAGAATAGAGTTAAATTCATTGTCAAAGACTATTTAAGCTCAAAGACAGTAAGAAACAGCTGTTGACAGTAAAGCCCTTGAGAAGAGTGGGGATACCTTGAGAAGAGAATAGAGTTAAATTCATTGTCAAAGACTATTTAAGCTCAAAGACAGTAAGAAACAGCTGTTGACAGTAAAGCCCTTGAGAAGAGTGGGGATACCTTGAGAAGAGAATAGAGTTAAATTCATTGTCAAAGACTATTTAAGCTCAAAGACAGTAAGAAACAGCTGTTGACAGTAAAGCCCATGAGAAGAGTGGTGATGTGGCAAATAATATCACAAGAGGAAGAAGAGTAAGTTACTGGGCTCCTACATATCTCACTCCTCATAATCACAATTTTATGAGGTAGGCATTACTGACTCCCATTGTTTTCAAATGAGAAAAGCAGTGTACAGTTGCTAAAGAGTGGGTTGGGAGTCAAAACCAGATCGGTGTGACCGAAAAGTTCACTCTCTCTGGCGGAAGACAAATATCAACGATTTCAAAAACTTACTAGAGAAACTTCTCCCCAGCAAAATCAGGGAAACACTTGCCTTATCTTCCTTCTTTTTGCATCAAAATTTCTTCTCAAATCTGACAACAATATTAGTACTATACCCCTACTGCATAATTTATTGCACAAATTTGTAATGTCTGTATGGGAATATGGATTCTTATATTCAAATATCAAACTTAGGAAATTCTTGAGACAAGTCTCAATGATAAACTAGGAAATGCCTGAAAAGAAACAAATATCTTTAAATTTTAAAACCTTGCTGGAGATAGTAGGCAGAGGTACATACAAACAAACAGAATTTTCAATCACTTCTTAAAATTCTATTTTGCATTTTTGTTTCTAAGGAGAAAAACAGATTATAGTCTAGTAATAGGAAAAAAATAAGCAATTTTCTTTATCTTGCCATTTCTATCTACCCAAGTCTTTCTAAATTCTTTTCTCCATGAAATAGCCAAAATTCTTTTTATTTACCATATCATTTTTGCAATACTGTACAAAGAAACCACAAAAATAATAATAGTAGCATAGTTACATACTATTTAACTTGGTCTAAAAATTAAATGTGTTTTTCCCTAAAGGTGATTGCTTTTCCTTGATGTCCAATAAAAACAGTAAAATAATTTATTGTTGCCACCATTCATTATCAGTAAAGGAAACGAAAAGGCGGGTTGAAAAATGTAGAGTTCTTCAGTAGCTGTTTCTTGTCACATGTAAATTAAGAAGATGTATAATGATGCATTTGTAGATCAATGTCAGCTTCATTTATTGACTGTGGTGTTGAATCTTCCCACACCATGCAGCAAAGCCTCCCAATCACCGGCCTGCAGAAAGCTCTGTGTCCACCGGCTCCTCGGGCAGCAGCTTTGGCAGTGGGTATAGCGTGGACAGTGAAGGAAGCAGCAGCACTGCAGGGGAGACTAATCTATTTCCTATTCCGAGGATGTAAGTGGGTCTCTTTTTGTTACTACAAAGCTTACTCAGCATCATGAGTAAGGCATTCTCAACAGTTAACAGGAAATAACTGGATAATTACCCAATTCTGAGTCATTGTCCCTGAGACACTTGAACTGTTAATGCCTATGTAAAAATAGATAGTTCAAGAAAGATTGGATAATTCAGTTAATTCTAAGGATAAATGTTAGTCACTGCCAGAACTACTTAATCAATACAATCTGTATTTGATGTTAAAACTGCTAATCACTTAGCCATGCCAGAATAAAGTTCAGCAGGAATACAGTAATGTTTTAATCACATAATGACCAAATACAAACATTACTGGTATTTGAGACAAACATATATTAATTTACCTTGAATCAGGAGATATTTAAACATATTCAAAGAATCCATATATCATATTTGAAATAGAGGACATAGTGAATAATCATACAGACTTTTCAACTATAAATCCTTCTACAATTAACATTGAAGGTTTCGAAGTGTTTCCATACTTTCTAGAACAAAGACCGAGTAGTGCATAGGTCCCTGAGTAGGTACTCTTGGAATAAGAATCACTCATAATGTTAAGCCTCAAAATAAAAAAAAAGTCATTTTGCAAATCAAATGCAAAACTTTAGCATACTTAATGTGTTAGAATCGCCTTGGTCATATTGGTGGCATTTAAGATAAATATGTAGATTATGTCTGTTCCAATAACAAAATCCAAACTTCCTGACTTTTCCTTTTCCTGCCCATTAACTAGTCTTCTGGATTTTGAAAATACCACTGGGCCACCCAGGTCCCAGGGTTTACGCCAGGGCAAAAGCAGTCTACCACCTGGTTTTCTAAGACCTGTGAGCTAAAAATGGCATTTCCATTTTCGAAAGTGTAGGAAAAAACAAAAGAAGTGTGATATTTTGTGACACTTGAAAATTATAGGAAATTGAAATTTCAGTGAATATAAACTAAGTTGTATTGGAACACAACCGTGCCTATTAGCTCTGTGTTGCCTGATGCTGCTTTTGTGCTGCAGGGCAGAATTAAGTCGTTAGAATACAGCCCATCTAAAATATTTACTAACTGGCACGTTGCAGAGCTTGCCAACCCTGAGCTGGGTTGTGAAAGGGTCTTTTTCATTTTCTCCAATGCTAAGTGAAGACTTTTCAGGGGGTGGATTGTCTATTTCTCTTTGTTTTAAAATAAAGGTTCTTATAAATCTTTCCTTCTGATGTCCACAACAATTATAATATTTTGATAATGGTTCAGTTTATAAAAGCAAAGCATTAGTGAAAATAGATTTTTACAGTGAAAAACGAGTTCATTTTGTTGTTTTGAACTACATTTTTTTCAATTTAAATTAAGCAAATTCTTATTGTATCACCTGTCCATCTTAGCTTTCTTTTCTTTTATGAGATTTAGTCTATGGATTCAATAGAGTTATTTGTACTTAATCAGTTATATTTTATTGGAAATTCTTCCTAAAAGAAATCTAATCCCATTGGTCTTTGACTTCTGATGATCCAATTTGACAGAAAAGAATTTCTACAAATTCTTTAAATTTCTTTCTAAGCTGTAAATGTCATGTGAATTTAGAAAGGTTTTAAACCACACATAATTTGTTATCCTTCCAATTTTTCTGCACCTTTCAAAATATATAATTTAACACTGATGGTAAAGTTATAATTCCAAAAAGTAAATATGTCATTTTGTCAATATTTGAATGTCTGCAGTATAAGTAGATTATGTATTTTATATATATACCACATTCTAATTTTGATTTTTCCCATTTTCCTGTTTCTCTTGTAAATCAAAGCTTCTCACAACTGTCTAGGAGACTCTTGCTTTGCCATATGAGCACAACGAATATTTACTTTTGAAAACCATTATAGGATATGTGTAAGAAGTAGTATTTGGCAGTTCTTTTATATCCCCCATTGTATCTAATAAAATTATAGCTTGGGCTAGTAAAAGTGTTTAATAAATATCTAGCGATTATTTAAAAATATAAATTATAAAATGTATAGCCAGAATGTTCTGAGCTAAAGTGTAGTCATTGGGAATTCAGAGAAACCACATCCTTCACACGACTCACAGTTACATTTCCTTTGCACTTAATTTAGCTTCACAATCCTATGAAAGTTTTTTGTATAATCTTCAAAATGTACTTACTACACATATTGGCTAAGTACCTATGTTAAAATCAGTTTCAATTGAAAGCAAAGACTGGCTGGGTATCACCATTAACATATAAAGTCTAAGACTCAAGAACAACCCCAAAAATTATCAAAATGTACTTGTACTACAATTACTAAGACTTACAGTAACTACTTTTTAAAAGTCTGGGATAGTATAAGAATATTTATTTTTTAGTATTCTGATCTACTAGATTACCAATACTAAAAAGACCTGCACTTTCAATAGAGTTTGGCTCAGCAACAAGGTATGTTTTGGTTCACTCTACCAGTGTAGCGTACTGATAAAAGTAAGATTACTGCTATTAAGCTTTTTTTCCCCTCTAATGCTAACAGATAGAGCAGAGTTCTTTTTTTTTTCTTAACTACTTGTCTTGAATCTTGATGAAGCAATTACATAAGCTAAAATTTTGTGTGTTACTTAAATATGTATGCAGATGTTGACCATGCAGACCATGGTTTAACATATATATGGTAAAATGGAAATGTTGGAAATTGCTTAATTTGCATGAACTTGGTCCCTCACATACACACTTAATAAAAATTTGTACTTAAACCTTTAACCTAGAATTATTATAATGGAACAATGTAATGGCTTTTGAGATAAAATAATTTCTGAATTTACATGTGTTCTTTTATTATGTGCGGAAACATTTCAGCACCTTCTCTGAAGTAGAATAAGAGGACCTTTAGAGCAGTTTTCAAGTAAGATATAATTGGATTATTAAGAAATAAATATGGTTACATTTTCAGCAGGTCTAGCAAACCAAATACTTCCTATGAAAGTTATAATTAATTGTTAGTAAATCCCACTATGCTAGAAGTGTTGTCTACAAAGTGCAGTATCAAGATGCTCTTTTGTTCAAGCATCTTTCTGTAACAATTTTTTATTCCATCTTTTTAGAACGCCTTATCTAAGCACATATAAAGGCAAATTCCAAACTTCTTCATGTGCCATGTAGCTTTTTCTCTAGCCGAAGAAATAAGAAGTGGTCTACTGTCCTTTAGCTGTTAAATTATTAACATTCTAAGCTTACAGTCCTCAAAGTATCCTGAATTCTTCATCTAGTTGACTTTCCAAAAAGTTTGAAGCTGAAAACTAAAAGTGATTAGCAGATTTTGGTTGAATTCTAAGGCTACTACGAGCATGCCTACCTGTTAATATGTCATGTTTATTGAATGCTTATTATTTCTCAGGCACTCTGTTAACCCTTTTCACGCATTTTTCATGTGTTTTTTTTCATAATCAAAATGTAGCTAATATTATTATCTTTATATCACAAAAGGAGAAACAGTCTTGACCAGGTACTTTGCCTTACATTACCCATAGCAAGAAATAGCAAAGCCAGAAACAGAGACCAAGCAGCCTGACTACAAAAGCCAGTTTGCTCAACACAGTGGAAAACACAGAAAGGAGTTGAAAAAAAAATACATGAAATAAGAAATATTTTATTAAAATATCATTTTTATATATTATTTAATTCAATATTGCTCTTTTTACCAAAAAAACTGGAATAACTCATCAGTACAACATATAAAAATATAAAGCCCCTTCTCATTGTTGAGTTAGAAATAAATAAAAAATTCTAAAACAAAATTTCTAAATGTCATGATGGTCTTATTTTTTGATAAATAGTCTACAAATAAAAACTACTGAATGTTGAGGTATATTGTTTGGCCTGAATAGGAATAATAAACAAGTTCACATTTTAAAATTATGATATAGAGCAATTAACTGTGTATGTATGTGCCATTCAAATAATTATTGCAAGTCCAAAAATATTCGGTTGTGCAAAAGTAATTGCAGGTTTTGCCATTACTATCAATGTCATTTTATTTATGCAAATTTAGCCTCTTTTGCATTCATGAGATCATAACTGAATATATCATTTTATTTTATTTCTAAACAGAGGGAAGATGGGACAGAATGGACAAGAGCCTGTAAAACAGCCAGGGGTAGGAGTAGGACTAGCAGACACTGAAGGTAAGTAAAAATTTACAATATTGGATTTTGGCTGAATCTGCATTCTACAGTATAAGTGTTTCAGTTGTTTTTCTTTTAACATGAATTTAAATGTTACAAACTAATGGCAAAAGCAATAGGTAGTAAGATATCATTATCTATTAAATGAGAATGACTGTATTCATTTTACAATTCCCCAATTTTCTCATTTGTGTTTAACATTAAAGTAACTTGGGGTACTGAAAAATTAAAAGAGAAAGAAAAATGAGAAGGATGACATGAAAAAGACTCAGAAGACTTTCCCAGGGTGGGAGGGAAATCTTGAACTTAAAAATATAACATATATTTTGTTTAAAATATCATGCAAATAGAAAATCAATCATGGAACCTCATTTAAGTCCATAGAAATTCTTAAATATACGAAGCTGAGAAGAAATTAATGGTGTAAAAATCATTTTACAGAAAAATTAATTGCTAAACTAACTTCTAAAGACAAACCAAATTTAAGTTCAAATTTCGTTTTATTAAACAAATAATAAATTATTACCAAATGTGAAAAATCCTTGACGTCAGCAAACATATAAAAGGAGTATCTATAAGCTTTACGATGACAAGCTTACCTTTCATAATACTGTGATAAAATCTAGTATCCCTGGCTGGGCACGGTGGCTCACGCCTGAAATCCCAGCACTTTGGGAGGCCGAGGTGGGCAGATCACGAGGTCAGGAGTTCGAGACCAACATGGCGAAACCCCATCTCTACTAAAAATACAAAAATTAGACAGTCGTGGTGGCACGCACCTGTAATCCCAGCTACTCAGGAGGCTGAGGCAGGAGAATTGCTTGAATCCAGGAGGCAGAGTTTGCAGTAAGCCCAGATCTCGCCACTGCACTCCAGCCTGGGCGACAGAGGGAGACTCCATCTCAAAAAATAAAATAAATAAAATCTAGTAGCCCTATAGTCCTTCATGTGTCATTCCAACCTCTCTCTATACATTTAACTATTCTAAGTAGTTTATTCTAAGTACTTTTCATGCACTGTCTCATTTAATTCTTACAATTACCTATGAGGTAACTAATAACATATATTGGCTTTATATAAAAGGAAACTGAAGTGCACACATGGAACAAGGACAGAACAAGTGAAAATGACACCAAATGTCACACTATTACCATGATAATGGGTGTGTTATCACAAGAGCACTACATAGGGAAACAGGTTTAGGTTTCAATTCTGGTCTTTATTAGATATGTGACCTAATTTCTCTATCTTCAGAAACCTCATCTGACAAATGCTGGGTCTAAGTGATACCTAGGTTTTCTCAGGGGCTTAAGTGAATGCCACATTTTTCTTGTTCTATTCGAAATTGTAAATTAATCTTTGGACGCCTTCAAAAGCTATGTTTCCTTTATCTCTTGCTATATACTTCAGGGTTCCACCCTCAATCTACCAATCTTTTTACCTACCGTATCTCTGTGTACACTCATGAACTCTCTCTTATATGTTGATTAGTCCCAAACCTGCTGCCCAAACTCCTGGAATTTAGACTCAGTATGTCAGGCATTTGTGTCCAACCAGGAAACTAGAAATGGCTCTGAATATTTGAAATAGAGGAAACAAATGACTAGCAATTGATGATATACTCGTGAAAGAAGCTGAGAAACTAAGTGGGGGATAGTGAAGCAGCAGAAAAATAGCTATTGTCCCCATAAGCTAGAGGACAGCGAGAGCCGAAACCAGGACAAGCCTGCTTTCTGGGAGCAAGAAACATGAAAGAAATTCAGCCAATGCCAGAAATATATCCTGAGACAGACAAGGATGGGGAGAAATATCCTGGTTCTCTCTTCCTCCCATTCTCCAATCTCTGCCAGTGCCTGATCAAAACCAACTGGAAGCCAGTTGACGGAGAGGTCTGGAAAACTGTACAGGGCAGCTACTCTGAGAAGAAAGGAAGGAAGAGACCGAAGAATGCATCTGAGAGCATATAAGTATAGGGCCAGCACAATATTTTACATGGATGCATCAAGCTACGTATGCCCTGCACTTAATTCACCCTCTCCCCAATTTTGCCTCCTTTTCCTACTATGCTCTTAAAACACAGTTGACAGAATTTGCATATTTTATCATTGTTCTTTGATTTAAATTACCTATTTCTATTTTTGTCTCCTCCATAAGGCTGAACAACTCTCAAACCAGAGATAGCGCTTATTCCTCTTGGTATCCCAGCACTTAGCAGACAGCCTTGCCCACAGAGTTGCTTAGAGAATGTTTGTTGAGCAAATGAATAACAAATATGATCATCTATACAATTAGCAGCTATTGATTTTCGTATTAGTCTAGAATTTAGATATATAGTGAAGCAATTCATGCATAGTTTTAGCTACTTAATTTTACCTTTCTTTAATCCTAAAGTTTATAAATAAAATTGTTTTAGTATAAATGTTAACAGCTGTCAATGAACAGAAATTATTCATCCTAATACTGCTTTCTTCTTTCATATCAGTCCCACACAAAACTTGCTTGCTTTCCAAGAAGGAGCCAATCAGAGGCGACTTTATTTTTATTTAAACTTATGAGTCAATATGTTTCCCCTTTAGCGAACTGACCCTGATCAACAGTTGATCTTAGATTAGTTATTGAGCAGAGGGGCGGGGGTTGAGGATGGGAACAAGACAGAATATGTAATATAATGTGAGTTATTTATAGTCAAGTGCCCTTTTGGTAGCAACATTTTGGACAAGTTGTTTTTCACTGAGTTGCTATTAACATTTGACAATAATCAAATTTATAATCTACGTATCTATATGAATTGGGCATGAATCACTATAAGCAAAATATTTTAAAAAGTTAATAATATGGAGAAGAAAACTGCAATAATATTAGACTTTCAGAGGCAATTTTAAATTAGAAAGAATATATAAACAGAGTGAGGAGAAAATGATTAAGAATGTATTTGCTCTATGCAGATAGGAGGACACATCAATGCAAAGTGCAAGATTTTGTTTTGTCCACGTAGAAATATGGAATCAACTTTGTGTTGTACTTGAGATATATGTTTAATCAGTGTTTTGTTTGTTTTGAGTGATCCAAATAATTATCTTTATTTGCCTTTGTTGTCAGTGAACATAAACAGCCAATTTAGCGGGGGAACAAAAACAAACGAGTCAATTCAATTTTTTTTAGACAAAATATATAGTTCTTTTATTGTATTTTTCCTCCATTCAATCCTTCACCAGGACATCAGAAAAACTGTGACTCTGTAGATAAGCACAGTTTTCTTGAAATTATAGATCCTTGAAATGTTCCACTTCATCTCGATTACTTATATTATTCATTTAAGCACTTTGTTTTATGAATACCTTAGTCCACTCTAAGAAATACTCATCTACAAAGATTTGCTTTAGGACAGCATACTTTAATCCAGAGTATATCATAGATTTTAAGTAATCACTTTTAGACGGTTTGTTCACATACAATTTTTATTCTTGTTTTTGCTTTATGGGGTTCAGAATGTAAAAAGTAATGTTTTAGGGAGTTACAATTTCTGTTGAGAATGTCATTGAGTATTTTTAATGTTAAATAGCCATGTTCTTGTTATTCTTATTAAGCAAGTCCATTTATTCTGCTTCTAATTTAAAAACAATAATTTTCCACTTAGTCATTTTCTCTAATAATGTTTTACCTTATTCACAGAAGTTGTTTATGAATTTTAATCCCAGCATGAGATTAGTTCAATGGGTCAGAATGTGAGCCCTATGAAGGGTTCTGGGATTCAACCTAAGTTGTAGTATAAAACAGTAATACTTTTTCAGACTATCTCCACTAATCAATCATTGAATTTCCACAATTTAATTAAGTGCATATGTAAAGCAAAAATAAGTGTTGTATTTGGCATACAGTTAACATCCTTTAAGTTGTAGCTATTATTAAATTAGAAGTATATGTGAGAGTCATTTTGATCCCATCCAAAGAAATGATCATTATTCAGGATTGATAAAATATTGTGCACTTGTTGACAATGAGAGCTATACACGACCACTTTTCTTTAACATTTAAATCAAACCAATTAGACTTTCAAATTGTACAGATGAGTGTTTTCCCAATTTACACTAAAAACATCTAATTACATCCTTTAAGCTAGCTGACCCTTCCATTAGTTAAGATGGATGTATTTAATAGTTATTTTTTGCCAGTGAGCATCCATGTAGTAGCTGCCTTGATCCATTAAGTCTCCTAAACCAGGTGTTTATCATCTTTAAAAAGTATTACAATCACAACTTTCCATGAAGCTTAATTTTCTTGGCTGTATACCTTTGAAGAACAAATACCCCTAATAAATCATTTATTTTCTTAAGTATCTTTATAAAATCCAATTTAGTTTCAGTAAGAATGGAAATTCAGTTTCCAGAACAAATAAATCTCAAACATTCTAGAAATTTGCTAGGCTCTACTCTCAAAGAGAAAATATGAAACCATTATGGAAGATCCTCAATTAGAGTATAATAACAGCTATTATTATAGCATCCAATAATTCACTCCACAAATATGTGACCTTGCTGTCTTATTTTTCCCAATACTTAGGCTACCTTTCTTATATTTCCAAAGTTGATTAGTGCTATATATGAGTGTATCTATTATATGCAAAACACTATATTAAAACTTTGGATCCTACAGAGATCAATTCAGTACATATACTGATCTGAGGGAGCATACTGTCCATCTAGTATGGCTGGTTCTATTTCATCAGCAGCCAGTAAGCATGCTTGCTGAACCAGGTGTGTACAGCCAGGATCCATTCAGATTGGTTGGTGACTGTACCACACCTATTGTATATTTTAACAATCATCCTGAGAAGGGGCTTTAATAACCATGATGCAATGACTAATTACAATAAAAATATATAAGCCAGAGGGAAAATTATATGCTTTGGAATTTCAGCATTGAAAAGCATGGCAGCATCTGTAGAAGTGATGGTGGGGAGCATGGTTTTGTGAAAGAGGTTACAAGTAGTGACTGCTTTGAAAGTTGAACAAGGTCTAGACATGTGGCAATGAATGAGGCCAAGTTCAGACTGAAGAACACCATGAGGAACATCACAGATGGAAGAAAAGATTGGGGGTATATAGAAGAGAAGTTATTCAGTGAAGCTAGAGCAAAGGGTGCAAGGGGAAAGCCTCCTCCTATTTGGGGTGTGATTTCCCTGGACCTTATCACCTTATCACATTTTCCTAAATTACGTGAATCTAAAATCCAGTGTCACTTATTTCTAGTCCTGGATTATTCACTGGGAATTTAAAATTAATGGCATTTACTGCAAAATACCCTATTATTGAAATATTTTTTAAAAATCTGTGTCTTAAATCTAAGCCAGATTCATCTCTGGAGGGTATCGATTGACCACTAAAAAGTTAAATGAATTAAATTTCTGGAAGCGATCTTGGGTATTTCTTCGTCTTAGCACACATCAAAGCATTGTCAATTGCTTGATGAAAGCCCAGAATATTTTAGACTTTCAGAGATTAATATCTGAAATAGTAGTTTTCAATATTTTTTGAAATGTCTTCTTTACCTAGAAGTCTCTGAAATGTTGCACTGGGAGTTGTTGCTCTGATTTACTTATGAGAGAGAGGCTTTTGAATCAAGATAAGAATACTAAAACTTAGCAAATAACACAACGAATATAAGCCAAGAATATTTTCTTAGTATAGATGTAGAAAATTAACAAAAGATGTGTAAATATCACAAATATATAATGTTTATTTTGTTCTAAATGCCTTCACATTGTCTGGTTCATTTGTCACAAGACAGTAGGAGATATAGATATGGAATAATTGAAATAATAATTTCCACCTTATATAGTCAAGAAAACAGAGAACTAGAGCAGTAAAACCATTCAAAGCAGAGTTTTATAGTCAACTTATTAAAAAGAGTTAGAATCTACAGATAGCTAATCTAACATCACCTGACTCTTACCATTGTACTTACCAACATTTTTATTTTGATATTGAAGGTTACAGAGCTATTTCATGAAAAAACATTTTAAATTCATAAGACTATCTTAATTGGTTTGGGCAGGAAAACATCCAATACTTAATGATGATAGGCAATCAACTAATAACACCATTTACATTACAGGTGCTATGTAGCTTGCCAAAATTAAAAATCTTGTTTTATCAGATATTAAAAATTTCTGTATTCAAAACAACATTAAATTACACAAAATAGACAAATAGATAAATGGGCAAATGGATAACTTAACCAGTCCATATATGGTTTTAAAGTAAATGATTATTATAAATTCCAATGGAACAGATATTTCATTCCATAGAAAAAGTTGGTTTATCAAATAGTTCTGCCATAATTTTCTTCAGTAAGAAAAGAAAATTAGACTTCTAGTCATTACCATATACCAAATAATTTTCAGGTTAATTAAGGAGATTAAATTTAAAAATGGAATAATAAAAATGTTTGAAGGAAATCCAAGTAAGATTTGTACAGGCTTAGTGGAATATGAGGGGCAATTTCCTAAGCAAGATAAGAAGCCATAAGGCTTCAAAGAAATAATAAACATTTTTGTCTATAAATAATAATAACACATATAGTAAAATAAACCAAAAATAAAAGCAATGAGCAAATGATAAATAAGATTAAAATATTGTAACTTGTATGATCACTAAATGATCACTATACTAAATAAGGATCTCCCATGTTTTGCTCAAAAAAGGACAAACAAGAACAAACAAGGTCAAAAATTATAAACTGGAGAGCCAGGCGCAGTGGCTCATGTCTCTAGTCCTAGCACTTTGGGAGACCGAGGAGAACAGATTGCTTCAACTCAGGAGTTCAAGGCCAACCTGGGCAACATGGCATAAACCCCGTCTCTACAAAAAATACAAAAATTAGCTGGGCATGGTAGCGCATGCCTGTGGTTCCAGCTGCTAGGGAGGCTAAGATAGGGGGCATCGCTTGAGCCCAGGAGGCAGAGGGTGCAGTGAGCCGAGGTCGTGCCACTGCACTCTAGCCTGGATGACAAAGCAAGACTGTGTCTCAAAAAAAAAAAAAAAAAAAAAAAAAAAAAAGAAAAAAAATTTATGAACTAGCATGTCAGTAACAATGGCTTTTCACTGAAGAGAAATTAGCAATAACAACAAAAAAACTTATAATTATTAAAAAACAATTAAGTGATTAACCTATCAGGCTCAAATTCTAACTAGCAGTAATTCCACAGAAAAGGGAGAGATGAAAAGAAACGTTATTCAAAATACAACACATTTCTTTAAACTAAAGAAAACAAATCTCCACATTAGAAAGACAAGAAATAAATAAACTTGCAGCGTGAGACATCATAATAATTCAGAAAACAGAAAACGTAGAGAAGATGCTAAAGGTTTCTCCAGATAATTAATTAATGTACGTTAACTACAAAGAAGAAAAGATAAGAATTCAAACGATATCTCAACAGCAATAATAGAGGCTTAAAAAGAAAAGGATAATAATTAATGCCTTTGAAATTTTAAATGGAAGGGATTGTAAACTAAAAATCTAACACAAACTATCCATCAAGTGTAAGGGTAAAAGGAAATGATTTTTGAGAAGGCTAAGTACAAACATTTTACTTTCCATGCTACCTATCTCAGGAAGCTCCTTGAAGATATGCTCCACCAAAATAGCGAATTAACCACATAGAAGCATACCCTGACCCCACACACAATACTTTGTGAATCCAGAGACACAAAGAATAGAGGACTTCCATGATGAGATAAGGAGAATCTAAAGACAATAGCCATGCAGCAGGCATAAAGAACACCTGAGAAAATCTTATCAAATATAGAGATATGGAAATCAAATATCAAATGTGGAGATCAAATATCAAATATGAAGAGTTCATTAGCAGTTATTAAAAATCTGAATTTGATTCCCATGTATTTTGGGGTACAGACATTTCTAGTAGCCCAATAAAAAAAATTGGCCCTCCACAGAAACTAGAGAAGTTTAGAGATTAATTCAATACTTCCAGGGCCCTGAAAACCCAATTTCGAATGGCGTTTGTCTCCAGGGAGGTGAACTGGTATACACTGTGACCAAGCACTAGCAGAAGAGCCAGCCTGTAGTTTTGTTTTCTCAACATATGGGTGCAACTGCGGCAGAGTGTCCATCAACTTGGCTGGGACTCAAAACCAGAGCTGATACTGCTTTGCATCTTCACCTGAGCGTCGGCCACACACATAGGTACTACCCTTAAAAACCCCAGGTGGGAAGGTCAAAGCCAGGGATAGCACTGGCATAGAATGTGACTCTTCCTTGTCTTTGACATCTCCACCATAACACGAATTTCAAAAACAAAAATATATGGAGAGTTCTAGGCTGCACGTGGGCAGTGAATGGGGTGCTCATGCAGGAGAGAAGAGCATTGACAAAATTCATGATGTGTCTGGCCAAGTGAAAAATAGTATTGAAAGAGGTGCTCTTGGAAGTGTTGAGAACAGTTAGAGATAGGTACGCAGAAAGCTGAGCGAATTGTAAAAAAAAAAAGCAATTAATAACTTAAGGAAAAAAAGAAAATTAAGTAAAGCTTGCCATATAAGAACCAAATTTTCTCAAAAATGAATATTAAAGAGGCAAGTTAATATAAATTCCAAATGTTAGTTTAACCAAGATCGTAATATATGACAAGGATGAGAAAAGCTAAATCTTCATATACCAAAATTTAAAAAGCCCATATATTATAAAGGCAATACAAAATTATTTTAAGAAATATGAATGTAAAGAACCCAGGAAACAGATTTAAAAAAAATAATTGGCAGTGGGTTTCTCTTAGCAATTTGACTATGAGTTCGGTAAAATAACGGGTTGAGATATGTGAGATGTGAGATTTTATTTTTTTAAAAAAGAAGTCAAAAATATAAAATGGTGGTGGGGTGAGGTGGCTCACCCTGTAATCCCAGCACTTTGGGAGGCTGGAGTGGGCAGATTGCTTGAGTCCAAGAGTTCAAGAGAAGCCTAGGCAACATGACAAAACCCCATCTCTAAAAAAAATACGAAAATTAGCTGGGTGTGGTGGCGCCATGCCTGTGGTCCCAGCTACTTGGGATGCTGAGGAGGGAGTATCGCTTGGGCTCAGGAGGCAGAGGTTACAGTGAGCTGAGATCATGCCACTGCACCCCAGCCTGGATGACAGAGTGAGACCTTGTCAAAAAAAAAAAAGAGCCATAAAATTATTCAACCTTTTGTTATATGAAGAAATGAAAAACAAGCAATAGGAATCAAACTGCATAATAATAAGAAGAAAAAAATGGTATTATTTGAAGTAAATAATTTTCTACCATTCCCCTAAATTATTATGAATATCCATTCTCTTAAAACTCTTCAGTAGTAGGTATTACAATTAAGTACTCTTTTTATCTGACACACTCATTAAAGACCTCCTGATAGCTTCATTGTTGAATAGAGAAAGTTTTTTTCACTTTTAAAAAACCTGACTTTGATGATGTAAAATACAAAATCTCTGGAGGAAAAAAAGTCTATGAAATTCAAAGTTTTTAACTTTTAACTTCTTTTTCCAGTTCACTGAAAGTTTAAAAATAAATTTATAAATGTTCAGGAAGAAAAAATTCAGAATTTTTAAAAATGACAAAATTTATTGAAGATAATTCACTTTCCCACCTTTTAGTTTATTACTTTAATGAAAATTTTTTAAAATTTATTATATCTAGAAAATCCTGGAAGTTTACATAATTTTCTGTATAAGAAAATATTTTATAGGTAAGTAAAAAAGTAAAACTGGAAAAAGAAAAGACCAGCACATTTCAGAAAAGAAGCCCTTGGTCAACCAAGTATTACTTTCCCTTAAGGAACCAGTTTTACAGATAAGAAAGTACTATGGACACGAGATAATAGACTCTGAGGAAAGCACAACACAGCTTGTTTATTAAATGTTGACTGCTAATCTCTAAAATCATCAATATATTCTATTATTTGCTTTGTACCACTAAAAACTGTGGAGGTGGATTATTCTGTTTAAATCTTTTACTTTGAAAAAGGACTTGCTATCTACTCAAGTCATGTTTTGTCCTGCACTAAGCAGATGCAATTTTAGGCTGTTATCATCCAAAGTGGATGCTCACTTATCCAAGAAATAGCACACCATTGTGATTTCTCTAATTTACATTGCACTCTGGAGCCCAGACAACTATTGTTGGTGTTATGGAATGCTAAGTAGCAGTAGCAGGGCTTTATCTTACACATATTATTATGATATTGTCATATTGAATGATTATTTATATTCATTCTAATTGATGATTCATCTTTTTTAAAAAAATCTACACAAACCCCTTAATAACAATAACAACAACACAACTTTCATTTATTTGCCAAGCATTTGGCTAGGTCCTTTAAAAAATCTGGTGAACCCAATTCTCACAGGAATCCTTTATAATAAGGTATTACCGTATTTATGCTATTCCCAGTGTCTGGCACAGGGACTTGCACAAAGTGCCCACTTGATAAATATGTTTGAATCAAGTAATAAAAACTCAGAGAAACCAAAGGCTAAACCAACCTTAATAACATAATTGCGAAACTGAAATAAATGTTTACACAAAAACATTGAGAGAGTGTGTTAAAACATTAGATTTTTGCATATGCCTGCCATACCTAAGACACCTTGAAAAGTCTTGTTAATCCTGTATGTTGTTATACAGGTTTTAAGGAGTTTACCACCCTAAAACTGAACTCAGAGAGATTATTACTTCAATTAAAAACTACATAATTTACTTAAAAGTATAGTAACTCTGAATTTATATTGACTGTGCTTCTCTTTTCACAAGCGCAGCTGGATCTACAGAAGATTATTAATGCAGTGTCTCTGCCAAAAAGAACCAGTGTAGTAGGACAGACAAACATGTTCATGAACAATTGGCATAGAGTTCTGACAGATGTGAATGTATATTGAATATTAAGGTACTCTGCTGTAGGAAGGATAAGAAAAGCCTTCCTGGCAGGAATATTTTTTTAAATAGTTCTTGAAATAAAAGTAATATGTATTCATAGTAGAAGGAATGCTGGCAAGGATTCCAATATGGGGAAACATCATTGTCAAAGCCTTTGCAACATGAGAAAATACGTGATATTGGTGAACTTGTGGACAAGTTGCCTGACTGTAGCATAGTTCTGCGCTGGAGGGAGTAGTGCAAGATAGGATTTGAGAGCAGTCACAGTTCAGATAAATTATGAAATATCTGAAGCTGTCAGGAAGAACTTAGACTCCACACTGTAAATAGGCAATTGGAAGATATAGATTGATTTTAAGAAGGAAAATTACACAGATTTGGGGTTCTGAAGGATGGGTTAGAGAGGATCTTATCTGAAGTTGGGGGACTCGTTTGGAGGCAATTCAATAGATAAGGACTGGAATGCAAGCAGGGGCAGAGGTGCGAAAAGCAGGACAGACAGCTCTGAGAGTGATCTAGGAAGACAAATGAGGTTCTTTGTTCTAAAAATGATTCAGAATCAAAATGCAAATAAAACAGCTTCGGGCACCAGCATCATAAAGATGAAATGATGTGATAATGGTCATCATGTAAAATGATCACTAAACACAAGTATGATTTAGAAAGATTAAACAGAAAAGAAATGTTAACAGCAGAGGGCAATGTAAAAACTGATTTTAAAAGTTAGGGAAACTGTTCGAACATGATGAAAAGCAAACCTTCACGGGATTTTGAAGAAATAAATTGACTATGCTTTATAAGACAATATAGTACTTTAAAGATGAGTTAAAAGAGTAATTTGGAGTTTGAATTAGGTAGAATGTTTGCATTTTGCTCTCTTTTTTTGAGACAGAATCTCACTTTATTGCCCAGGCTGGAGCGCAGTGGTGCGATCTCGACTCACTGCAACCTCCACCTTCCAGCTTCAAGTGATTCTCCTGCCTCAGCCTCCCGAGTAGCTGGATTACAGGTGCCTGCCACCACGCCCAGTTAACTTTTGTATTTTTAGTAGAGATGGGGTTTCACCATGTTGGCCAGGCTGGTCTCAAACTCCTGACCTCAGGTGATCCACCCGCCTCAGTCTCCCAAAATGCTGGGATTAGAGGCATGAGCCACTGTGCCTGGCCACATTTTGCTTTCTTAGCTTTATATAGATAATGACATTGACCTGTTGTTTCAAATATGGAAGACTCTAATTCAATTAGGTTATTCTAATTGATGCTTCTTCGATTTAAGAATCTAATTGAATCAATCTAATTGATTCAACTATTTTTTACAGTTACAAGCAAGCTTATCTGAGTAAAATTAATATGAGCTGTTGCTCATTGATTTATGGGTGTTTTAGAGCTCTGAATATTATGTATTTTCAGAATGTGGTTTTCTTGTGACTTTAGGATTGTGACTTTAGGAACATGGATTAACAGTCTCAGATTGAGATTTGTCTAGCATTTCATTATATATTTTAAACTTTTATATAACTAATCATTTTTTTTCATAGTTTTCTTAATAAAGTATTTAGATATATTTTAAATAAAATATTCCACTAAAATCCTCCTGAAAATAATTGTGATACAGATTAAAAGAACAGAATGAGATAGAATGATTGAGTTATTTTAAAACCTGCTTTTAAAATTTGTCTTTATTAATTAATGAGTCACTATTTATTTTGCAGAAATATTATCTAGTATCAGTCTAGGTTGAATTGTTACAACGGCAAACATGATAACATGGAGACGTGTTATGGAAATACACAATTTTATGTTACTTAAAGAATTGATTCAATTCGACTCTTCCACATTCTGATTAGTATGTGAGTGTGTGTGTGGAGCACTCTCAGTAAAGGCAGAAAATCTCTGGCAGACAAGTCTAGAAGAAGGATTTGACGTTTTTAATTAAAACATTTTGGGCATATCCTGAAAATAGTAGGAGAATTAGTTTAATACTTTTTATTTTATGCATCTATGGTATTATACAAAGAGATCAGAAATTCAGAATGCTACCATAAGGTATGAAAAGCAGGCTTAATCAAAAGAAATTACAATTCTATTTTGGGAAGACTTAAATGTTGCTATATGCATTTCACAAAGTTCGCTGAGAACATTAAGGAATTTCTTGAACCAGAAGAAATGTAATTTATCAAAATACTACATCTTCTAGAGTAAGGCAGTTAACTGAGTTATTATTTTGGTTTTTAAAAAATATTTATTTCATTCATTAATGCTTTTTAAATCAGATTATTAAGTTTAAATCATAACTATATCAATTATATATATTAAATTTATATACTAATATAAATTATTAATTATATATAAATTATATATTATATATAATTATTAATTATATATTAAATATATATTAAATTTAAATCATAAATATATAAATTATAAATTTAAATCAGATTGATTAAATTAAATCAGATAAATACACTTATTGGTTGAAGCCATCTTTTAGTGCTGAAGTGCCTGAGTCCATTTCACATTCTATGGTTCTGTGTTTAGCTAACCAGAGGCATGCTCTATTTGACTTCTATTTTAGTTGGTGGAAAAGGTAGTTTATAATGACTTCAGTTACTGCAAGAGGCCAAATGAACAGGAACTATTTCTCAACAATTTATTTTCAAGACAGCTTTTTCTTCAAGTGTTTATTACTTTTGATAGTCTGATAGTTTGAGTTCATTTCCTTTTAATTAATGATGACTTGGCTAGGTCAAAATTTAGGTCAAATTTTGCAATTTAGTTTGATGTTGAGACTGCTGTGTTATTCCTCAGCCAATTTACAGGGTTTTTTTAAATAGTCAGCCGTGAGTTTATCTGAGTAAAATTAATATGAGCTGTTGCTCATTGGTTTATGGGTGTTTTAGAGCTCTGAATATGATCTATTTCCAGAATGTCATTTTCCAATGACTTTAGGAACATGGATTAGCAGTCTCAGATTGAGATTTGTCTAGCACGTCATGTGATATTTTAAACTTTTGTAGAACTAAAGTTAATCATTTTCTTGTTCATAGTTTTCTTAATAAAGTATTTAAATATATTTTAAATAAAATATTCTACTAAAACGCTCCTGGAAATAAATAATTGTGGCATGGGTTAAAACAATAGAATGAGATGAAATTATTGAGTTATTTAAAAACCTGCTTTTAAAAGTTGTGTCTTCTTCTCAAAAGAAGATATTTATGCAGCCAATAAACACATGAAGAAAAACTCATCATCACTGGTCATTAGAGAAATGTAAATCAAAACCACAATGAGATACCATCTCATGCCAGTTAGAATGGCTATCATTAAAAAGTCAGGAAACAACAGATGCTGGAGAGGATGTGGAGAAGTAGGAATGCTTTTACAGTCTTGGTGGGAGTGTAAATTAGTTCAACCATTGTGGAAGACAGTGTGGTTATTCCTCAAGGATCTAGAACTAGAAATACCATTTGACCCAGCAATCCCATTACTGGGTATATACCCAAAGAATTATAAATCATTCTCCTATAAAGACACATGCACACGTATGTTTATTGTGTGTTCACAATAGAAAAGACTTGGAACCAACCCAAACGCCTATCAGTGATAGACTGGATAAAGAAAACGTGGCACATATACACCATGGAATACTATACAGCCATAAAAAAGGATGAGTTCATGTCCTTTGCAGGGACATGGATGAAGCTGGAAACCATGATTCTCAGCAAACTAACACAAGGACAGAAAACCAAACACCGTATGTTCTCACTCATAAGTGGGAGATGAACAATGAGAACACATGTACACAGGGTGGAGAACATCACACACCAGGGCCTGTTGGGGGGTGGGGAGCTAGGGGAGGGATAGCATTAGGAGAAATACCTAATGTAGATGACAGGTTGATGAGTGCAGCAAACCACCATGGCACGTGTATACCTATAACAAACCTGCATGCTCTGCACATGTACCTCAGAACTTAAAGTATCAAAACAAAAAGTTGTGTCTTTATTAATTAATGAGTCACTAATTATTCATTTTGCAAAATACGATCTAGAATCAATCTAGGTTGAATTGTTGTAATGGCAAACATGATAATATGGAGATATGGAAATATACAATTTTATGTTCCTTAAACATAATTGTTTAACTAATTAAGAATAATTTGTTAACGATTTAAACAAACTTTTAAGATTTAAAACTCTAAATATGCAAATTTATTGGTATAGAAAAATATATCAGATTGTAGTTTTGTTTGTTTGTTTTGCTAGAGGATAGAAGAAAATACTATGGCTCTTAACCTGTAAATTTCTTCTCCTCCTGTATTTTATATCTCAGGTTTGGTTTTAGTTACATTATTCTTCTAATCACTGTCTCATTTCCACGGTTAGGCAATTGCCAAATCCTTGCAGATTTTACCTCTTCAGGATTTCTTAAATCTCTTTCCTTTTTTTCATTCTAACTACTGCCTAACTTTAGGTTTCCATCACATTTCACCAAAAGAAATGCCTAGTGTCCACACTGATCTCCTAATCTACCTTAGAAGTTTTTGAAGATGAATTATCATCATCTTCACATCTCTTTTACAGCCACTATCTAATCTGACTTTGTCACTCTCTAGCATAAAATATTTCTGTGGACCTCATGAACCATATAACTCTAGCTAGGTTTTACCACAACCAGCCCCTCTTTCTACTTCTCCAGTTTATCTCCTGACATGTCCTTTCTCCCAATTTACATCTGGTTATATCAAAATTGTGTTGAGTCTTCCACACAGGCTCTGCAGTTTCTCTTGTTAAGTTTGCTCCTGCTGTTCTCTTTGCTTAATATGATCACCCATTCCCAAAATGCTTGATCCTGGAAAACACCTTTTCATCCTTTGAGACCCACCCCTCAGCTTACTTTTTCAAGAACCTATCTGTGGGCGCTCTCCATCTGGCTCTGTTAAGGAAGTTTTCTCTTGCTCCTGTCAGTGCCTCCATCATTGCGCCAATCACCCTGTAATTGTAATGATCTTTTTAAGTTCTATCTCTTTTGCAAAACTATGAGCTGAAATGATTGGGAGATGGGAAGATAGTGGGCTATAGAAATATATAGAATAATTTCTTAGCTTATAACTTTGAAAGCTTTATTTCTTCTAGTACAGGGGTCCCCAACCCTAGGACCACAGACCTGTATTGGTCTGTGGCCTGTTAGAAACCAGGCCACACAGTAGGAGGTGAGTGGCAGCCAAGCGAGCATCACCTCCTGAGTTCTGCGTCCTGTCAGATCAGCAGTGGCATTAGATTCTCTTAGGAATGCAAATCCTATTGTGAACTGCGCATGTGATGGATCTAGGTTGTGTGCTCCTTATGAGAATCTAATGCCTGATGATCTGAGATGAAACAGTTTCATCCTGAAACCATCCCCCACAGCCCCCAATCCATGGAATAATTGTCTTCCACAAAACCAGTCTCTACTGCCAAAAAGGTTGAGGACCACTGTCCTGGAATAATAAAGAATAATTGTTTTGTGATGCTAAAGGAAAAAATGAAATATAAAATAATACCAAAGAAACTTAAATTATTTGGTAAGTAAACATTTACAAAGGCATTAGTAAAGAAATGTTTTCCAGTTTTTTGTGGTTGTAAAAAGCTGGAGGCAATATATTTATTTCTCCATAACTAGAGGAACAGATACATAAAATATATTATAGGCAGGTAATGGAATACCATGCAACTGTCAGAAAAAAATTATCTAGATCTACATATAATAAAATCAATAGATTTCAAAAATATAGATTTGAGAAATAAATGAGTACAAATAATGAGATTCACAGCATGATATTATTTTAGTTCAGAATAAATAGATAGAAAGCCAAACTAGACATTCTCACAGATATACCTTTTTGTAAACATTCATGTAAACAAATACATAGAAGTTGAATTGAAAAGAAATACAGTAAATACTCAAGACTGGTTGCCTTTGGTTGGGAGGGTAATGAGGATGATAAAGTTAGGAAGATAAAAGGGAAAAATATAAACTAAACAAAGTACCAAACAAATACAGGTT
Source organism: Homo sapiens (assembly GCF_000001405.40). Taxonomy (NCBI): domain Eukaryota; kingdom Metazoa; phylum Chordata; class Mammalia; order Primates; family Hominidae; genus Homo; species Homo sapiens. The sequence continues at coordinate 82,784,545 of NC_000007.14, read as the reverse complement.
CTGGCAGAGACAGATGTTAATTGTGTGGTTGTGTGCTGTGAATTGATGAATACGGGCAATTCAATTCTGGGCATCTGCAATTAAAAAAGAAAAAAAATCTTGGAAATAATATTATCCGGAAAGGCCTCACAAGAAAATGACATTTGGGTAATCACTGAAGAAAATGAGGGAGAGAGCTGTGTGAATCCTACAAATAACGTTCCCGGCTGACCAGCAGAAGTGTGCCCAGCACCTTCAGGAAGAGTATGACCCAGGTGAAGTGAGCAGTGGAGAGAATGGTAGGTGATGAGGTCAGAGAGAGAATAGAAGCCTTGTTGAACACTGCAAGAACTCTCACAACATGGTGTGGGACAGTATTGGAGGGTTTTGAGGTGAGGAATGAAACAGTCTGGCTCAAGTTTTAAAAGGATGATCCTAATTACTCTTCTGAGAATATTCTGAAGAGAAAAAGGGTCAAAGAAGAAAGACCTCCGAATATTTGTTGCAATTATTCAGGAAAGAAATGATGATGTCTGTATCAGGTTTATCATTTAATACAGTGAGAAGGGCTAAGAATTTGCCTATTTCTTCCGGATTCATGTATGTATGTGTCTATATATACATACATGTAATACATATAACTATACATATATAATTATATATAATTAAAATAACAAGGTAATTATAATAATCAAGTTAATAATGATTACTTCAGGGGTAAGAGAGAGAGAAGCAATTGGGAAAGGATTACCCTATTGGCTTCATCTGAATTTGTTTGATTTCTTAAGCTGACCAGCCATTGCATGAGTTCTTATGATATATTCTTTATGTTCTCTTATGCCTAAATTATTTTTAATTAATTTAAAAACAATATTGAATAATTTTAACATTCATTAAATTTTTCATTACATCTAGGGTGCAATTTTTGTTTGGTTGGTTGGTTTTGAGACCGAGTCTCGCTCTATCGCCCAGGCTGGAGTTCAGTGGTGCGATCTCAGCTCACTGCAAGCTCCGCCTCCCGGGTTCACGCCATTCTCCTGCCTCAGCCTCCTGAGTAGCTGGCACTACAGGAGCCCGCCACCATGCCCGGCTAATTTTCTTTTTTAATGTATTTTTAGTGGAGACGGGGCTTCACCGTGTTAGCCGGGATGGTCTCGATCTCCTGACGTCGTGATCCGCTCGCCTCGGCCTCCCAAAGGGCTGGGATTACAGGCGTAAGCCACCACACCCGGCCCTCTAGGGTGCAATTTTTAAATGTGATATTTCTTTAACTCTAAGATAAGGCAGTATTTTCACTGGTAAGAGATGGAAAACTACACAAACAAACTCAAAACCAAAGAATGTTTACTGGTGGCCATACTAAGAAATTCACATGTAGATATCATAGTCTCAGGAAAGACCAGCCTCAAGCCTGTTTAGTTCTCACATCTTTTCTCAGCTTTTCTCTGAAAGTTGGCCTTTTCTCAGGTTGTTCTATAAGGCAAGGGATGAAGTTGCTGGCTCCTTTGAGGCCTAGTTTTACACTCTTGACCCAAAGGAGAAAATATGTCTAACATCCTCAGTGAAGCACTCTGGTTTTTCCTATGTGGGTCAGATGCACTTACCTGGAACAAACATCGTGACAAAGAAAATTGAGTATGGTGGTTTCCAGCTTAAGAGAACCATATGCATTTGGGAGTAGATGTTCTTGAGATAGTGGTGAAAGAGGAGAAAAGATACTAGACAGATAAAATAAGAGATTGTGTTAAGGCATCTCTGTATATACTAATATATAAGACACTTTCAAATATATTTATATTATGGAAACTTTAGAAGAGTTTTGCTTGAAATGAAAAACATAACAGTGAACCGTAGTAAATTTCTGAAATGGATTTTGATATTCTATACTATTTTATATTAACGTAAAAAAGTTTCAAAGCTCATTTAGAATTTATACATAATTCATTTAGTATATCATTTTTATATGTGACATGAAAACTATTTCCAGAATAGAACATTCTACTCTCTTCTCTTTCGACTTCTTCTGGCTAAGCATATGTTGCCACAGTAGATTTACAATATTGGATGCACTGTAAAATCAGTCCTCTAAAACAGACATAGCCAGTCCCTGTGATTTAAGCAAAATAAATGAAAATAATGAAATAAATTATTAGTAGTTTGCATGCTGTAACTGAGCATTTATGTATAGAAGATTTTTTTCTGGAAAAGGAAGGGAATGTTATTTCAAGAAACCTCTCCTCAAATCATGTTTTTCCACAATTCTCACACCACAACAAGCAACAGAGATTTCTGTGACCAAACGTCAGAGGTTAGGGGGCTGTTTTCCCCACACACCAAATTACAGATACCAGCTGGGTGTCCTCCAATTTAATTCCAGCACTATCTACTTGGAGCTAGTGTCAGAACCCACAGGTCAAGGGCTCAGTCCCCAAGACTGCCTCCCAATACACACAAGTATTGTCACAAGTCTGGGCCTTAGAAAGTTCTGACCGACTGGCTTCAAGTTGGGGTTCCTGTGATCTCCTCTGTGGGTATGATTAATTTGCTGAAACAATTCACAGAACTCAGGGAAACCTTATGTTTACAGGTTTACTATCAAGGACACAGATGAAGAGATGTGCAGGGCAAGGTATGGGGGAAGGGGCGAGAAGCTTCCATGCCCACCCTGGGCATGCCACCCTCCAGGAACCTCCATGTGTTCAGCTCTCCAGAAGCTCCTCAAACCCAATCCTCTTGGGTTTTTATGGAAGCTTCATGATGTCAACATTTCTTCCCACAGAGTACAGGGTGGGACCTTCCCTGGGGAGGGTCTTAAGACTCACATCAGAAAGGTGGGAGAAGATTAGAGTTCTGCCTTGGGGCAGCTGAAAGGAGGGCAGGAGAGAGATTCTATTTCCTGAGGCCTGCCCCTGAAGCCTCACACACCCAACATTGTAACAAAAGACTGTAATAAGGGCTGTGGGAGTTATAAACCAGGAACCCTGGATGAAAACCAATATATATCATAAGAACACAAATGTAATTACATGCATTAGCAGAAATGGCAGTTACTCATTGAGAACACATGGACACAGAGAGGGGAACAACACACATCAGGGCCTGTTGGGGGGTGGGGGGGCAAAGGGAGGCAACTTAAAGGACGGGTAAATAGTTGCAGCAAACCACCATGGCACACGTATACCTACGGAACAAACCTACACGTTCTGCACATGTACTCTGTTTTGGGTTTTTTTGGGGGGCTGGAGGGGGTTGTTGGTTATTTTTAGAAGAAATAAACAAGAAATGGCAGTTTCTTTATATTGTAAGTCATAATATAATAAATATATTTAATTAAATTTATATTAAACATTGTCAGGAACATGATCTTTTTACCTTACCTGAAATGAAGAATTTTTATAAATTAATTTGGGTAAATGAAAAATTTTTTAAATCTATTGATTTTTTATTAATTTATTTATTTTCAAAATTACTGCTTATTTATTTCTCTTATTTGTTGAATATTTATTAGTGTTTTGATTATTTAAAAATAGTTTACTCTTCCTCTTTCTCAGAAAACTCATACAAATCCACTATGAGGAACTGCTTTTGAGTCTGTTCCCAAGAATTAAATTATGTGAGCTAAAGTTATAGCCCAATCCCTGCAGCATCAAATGGTGTACTCTCAACATACAACAACCAATCTGAATATTATGATTCACCCAATTTTTACAATTTCAAGCTTCTTTTATTTATTTGAGACTGTCTCAAAAAAATAAATTTTTGTAACAGATACTGTCTTTACCATTTGAGGAAAATGTCAGACATATGTGGGCTTAGAAGAATTCTAATATTGTTAGTAACCACTTATTTGTAGTATCACTATGTAAACTGAGAATAAGAACAAATAAGCCACTCGCGAGGCTGAGGCAGGAGAATGGCGAGAACCCGGGAGGCGGAGCTTGCATTGAGCGGAGATCGCGCCACCGCACTCCAGCCTGGGCGACAGAGCGAGACTCCTTTCAAAACAAAACAAACAAACAAACAAAAACAAACAAAAACATACAAGAGGCTTATTTTGCTGTTCAAGCATTTGGGGAGATGATAGGTATTTTCCATTAAGAAGGCATCTTGGGAGAGAGTGGTGGTTAACTTCAATCTTCAATCAATCCAGAAGACTGAAAATTGATAGCAGGTTTTCAAAGGAAGTGGGGAACCATAGCAATTAGTCCACAGAACAAACGTTCTATTAGTTCGTTTAAGATAGATTACTAAATTCTCTACTTAATAATTTCAACTTTAATGGCAATTGTATTTTGTATTTATCAAAAACTGTAATAATCTTGAATGTCTCATTTAATAAGAGGCCTGAGACCAGTACTGCCCATATATGGACAAGTAAGATGTAAACAGCCAATTTCAAGAGGCACTATTCACATAAACCGGTTTGTGAATGGTACCCTCTGGAGTTATAAATGTGGTGTTCCTGCCAACCAAATGTAGTACAGCATATTAGCTGAACTTTTAGTGAGAAAGAGGTTTACAATAACTGGATGGTAAGGAGTAATTTCTATTGTAGAACAACTGTTGATAACTAACACCTACTGAGAGCTTAAAATATGCTGAACACTCTATTAGTTCATTTCATCTTTGCAAGAACCCTGTGATGTAAAACCCTTATATCCCTTACCCATACTATTGTCCAGAAGGCAAAAGTGATCCCTGGGTATGTAGCAGGCATCTTGCAACGATGAGACAAAAATGATGAAAACGAATAATAAAAATTACAGCCATTGCACTCCACCTGGGCAACAGAGCAAGACTCTGTCTAAAAAAAAAAAAAAGAAAGAAAGAAAGAAAAAAAAATATAGAGCAAAAATAAAGAAAAAACCCAGTTCCTAAACCAATATTGAGGTGGTAAACCTATGTCTACCTCTAGATTTCTTGTTACATCAGAAAAAAAATTTCCTGTTTGTTTCTTCATTCTAAGTAAGATTTTCTGTTACCGATAGCTAAAAGCTTTCGTTAAGGATGTAGAAGGAAAAGAGTAGAAAAAGTACAATGAAAAAGGAATTTGAAAAACACATGATTAATTCCAAATCACCACAAATTCATGTTGATTCACTTAAATCATCAAATAAAAGACAAAGTTAATCAAAGTAATTAAATATATCTAACTACATGTTGTTTACAGAAAATGCATCTAAAGTTGGATCTCACAGAAAGGTTGAAAAGGGAGGATGAAAAGATACATATTATTCAGTTATTATTCAAAATAAAGCTGGTAAAAAATTATGTGAAAACCAGACAAAGAGAAAAAATCAAGGCAAAAAGCAATATCTTTCCTATGTCACCTGCAATGACCACTTCAAAACACGGTTTTAAAAAGAACTTTTTAACAATAGCAGCAGAAAGTCTAAGACTCCAGGAAATATATCTAACAAAATACTCATAATATCTGTATGATAAAGTAAAAAATCTATTGTTAATGTTCACAAAAGAAGACGTGAATACAGTATGTCATAAAGATGAATATCATGAAGATTGATATGTTAACAAGAAGTTAATATATAAATGTCATGAAAGTTCAATTAAATAACAAAAATAAAGTTTGCTGTTGAATTTTGAGAGGTGACCCTAAAATTTACATAAAAGACCAAAGGACTAAAAAATTTTGAAGAAAAATGATAAAATAGAGCTGTTTCTAGTTATCAAGTATAATATTACATAAAATATTTTAGTACAGCACAGGTATAATCTAGCAGACCAAAGAAACTGAGCAGATGGCCAGGAAAAAATCCTCAAGGGTCAGGAAACTTTATTTATAAAAAAAATTGAAAGGCATGGCAGATAAATAAATGACTCAGAGAAAATCGGTTGCCTACATGGAAAAAAAATACTAGTACTTCACATTGTAAAAAGCAACAAAAAATAACTGTGAATGGTTTAAGTATTCAAAATAAAAAGTAACACTCTAAAACTTTCAGAAGAAAATAAATATCTATCTGATGGCCAAATAATAAAGAAATTTTAAACTCAAAACCATAATGTAAAAGACTAATAATTAAAACTTTTGTTCAGCAAATGATGCCACAAACAAAAGAAAACAATATTCAATGAACATATGCATACATGTGTCTTTATAATAGAATGATTTATATTCCTTTGAGTATATACCAGTAATAGGATTGCTGGGTCAAATGATAGTTCTGTTTTAAGGTCTTTGAGAAATCACTCAACTGCTTTCCACAGTGGTTGAACTAATTTACACTCCCACTAACAGCATACAAGTGTTCTCTTTTCTCCACAACCTTGCCAGCATCTGTTATTTTTTGACTTTTTAATAAGAGCCATTATGACTGGTATGATATGGTATCTCATTGTGGTTTTGATTTGCATTCCTCTATGATCAGTGATATTCAGCTTTTTTTCATATGCTCGTTGGCTGCATGAAAGTCTTTTTTTGAAATGTGTCTGTTCATGTCCTTTTCTCACTTTTTAATGGGGTTGTTTGCCTTTGCTTGTAATTTGTTTAAGTTCCTTATAGATGCTGGATATTAGATTTAGATATTTGTCAGATGCATAGTTTGCAAAAATTTTCTCCCATTCTGTAGTTTGTCTGTTTCCTCTCTTGATAGTTTCTTTAGAATCTCTTTAGTTTTCTTAGATCCCATTTGTCAATTTTTGCTTTTATTGCAATTGCTTTTGGCGTCTTCATTATAAAATCTTTGTCCATTCCTATGTCCAGAGGGACCTAGATATTACCTACCTAGGTAAATCTTCCAGGGTTTTTATACTTTTTGGTTTTACATTTAAGTCTTTAATCCATCTTGAGGTGATTTCTGCATATGGTGTAAGGAAGGGGTCCAGTTTCAATCTTCTGTATATAGCTAGTCAACTGGCTTAGCTGACCTCAGCAAGGTCTATTAAAGAGAGACCTCTTTTCCCATTGCTCGTTTTTGTCAGCATTGCCAAAGATCAGATAGTTGTAGGTGTACAGCCTTATTTCTGGGCTCTCTATTCGGTTCCATTGGTCCATGTGTTTGTACCAGTGCCATGCTGTTTTGGTTACTATAGCCCCACAGTATAGGTTGAAGTAGGGGAGCATAATGCCTCCTACTTTGTTCTTTTTGCTTAGGATTGTCTTGAGTATTGATGCTCTTTTTTGGTTTCATATGAATTTTAAAATATTTTTTTCTAGTTCTCTGAAGAATATCATTGGTGTTTTGATAGGAATGGCATTGAATCTATAAATTACTTTGGGCAATATGGTCATTTTCTTGATATTGATTCTCCCTATCCGTGAGCATGGGATGTTTTCCCATATGTTTGTGTCATCTCTGATTTCTTTGAGCGGTATTTTGTAATTCTCATTGTAGATAGCTTTCACCTCCCTGGTTAGCTGTATTCCTAGGTATTTTATTCTTCTTGTGGCAGTTGTGATTGGGATTAAGGCAGAAATCAAGAAGTTCTTTGAAACTATTGAGAACAAAGTTACAACATACCAGAATCTCTGGGACACACCTAAGGCAGAGTTAAGGGGAAATTTATAGCACTAAACATCAACATTAAAAAGTTGGGAATATCTCAAATTAACAACTTAACATCACAACTAACAGAACTGGAGAAGCAAGGTTTTATATATATGTATGTGTGTATGTGTGTGTGTGTGTGTGTGTGTGTGCGTATATCTATATATACACACACATATATGTATATCTATACATATACATATATGTGTATATGTGTGTGTGTATATATAGAGAGAGAGAGAGAGAAAGAGAGAGAGAAAGAGAGAGATGGAGTCTCGCTGTGTCTTCCAGGCTAGAGTACAGTGGCACGATCTTGGCTCACTGCAACCTCCACCTCCTGGGTTCAAGCGATTCTCCCGCTTCAGCCTCCTGAGTAGCTGGGATTACAGGCGCACGCCATCACAGCCAGCTAATTTTTGTATTTTTAGTAGAGACACGGTTTCACCATGTTGGGCAAGATGATCTGGAACTTCTGATTTCAAGTGATCTGCCAGCCTTGGCCTCCCAAAGTGCTGGGATTACAGGCATGAGTCACCATCCCCAGCCCAGATTTTACATTTTATTAAAACATTATTTTACATATTGGATAGATTTTTGCTCATGCCCTTGGCTCAATTTTTGTATTTTTAGTAGAGGCAGGGTTTCATCATGTTGGCCAGGATGATCTGGAACTCCTGACATCAAGTGATCTGCTGGCGTTGGCCTCCCAAAGTGCTGGGATTACAAGCATGAGCCACCACGCCCGGCCCAGTTTTTACATTTTATTAAAACATTATTTTGCGTATTGGATAGATTTTGGCTCATGCCCTTAGCTCAACAAGGATGCCCACTACCTCTAGTAATATTTAACGTAGTATTGGTTTTGGTTAATATATATGAAAAGAAAATGAAATTAGATGCAAAGGTACATAAAAATTGCAAGGGAAAAAATAAAACCAATTATTTGTTAACAATGTGAACACCTATATAGAAAAACTGACTAAATCAAGAGATCAGTGTTAAAACTAATAAGAATTTATTCATATCACCAGTAAGTAACCATAAATACATAATGACAGTAACAACAATAATGATATTATTCATAATATCAAAACTAAAAAGTATTTTATCTATTCACAAATGGTGCTGGAACAATTGGACCTCCACATGCAAAAAAGTTAACCTAGACACAGAACTCATGCTTTATAAAAATTAACATAAAATGAATTATAGACTTTAATGCAAAATGCAAATCTATAAAACTCATAGAAAATAACATAGGAGAAAATCTAGACAATTTGGGGGGATAATATCAAAGGCACAGTCTATGAAAGAAAAATTCAATAATCGGACTTCATTAAAATTACAACATTTCTGATCTGAGAAAGACACTGTCAAAAGAATAAAACTGTAAGCCCCACAATCTGGGAAAAAATATTTACAAAAGACTTATAAAGGTCTGTTATCCAAACTATAAAAGAACTTTAAGGAATGCAAACAACAAATTTAAAAAATGAGCCAAAGACCTTAACAGACACCTTACCAAAAATGTATAGATGGCAAATAAGCATATGAAAAGATGTTCTATATCATATGCCATCAAGGAAATGCAAATTAAACAACAGTGATATACCCCTACACACCCATTAGATGACCAAAATCCAGAACACTGGCACCACCAAATGCTGGAGAAGATGTGGAGCAACAGGAATGCTCATTCGTTGCCAGTGGGAATGCAAAATGGTACAGCCACTTTGGAAAACAGTTTGGCGATTTTATACAACATTAAATATGCTCTTACTATATGATTCCACAATCATGCTATTTAATATTTACCCAAAGGAATTAAAAACTCATGACCACAAAAAAACCTGCCCATGGATGTTTATAGCAGCTTAAGTCATAATTGCCAAATCTTGGAAGCAAACAACAAGTCCTTCCGTAGATGAATGGATAAATAAACTGTGGTTTATTGTTCAGACAATGGAATATTGTTCAATACTGAAAAGAATGAGCTATAAAGCTATGAAAGACATGGAAGGAACTTAAATGCATACTAAATGAAAAAAATCTAAAAAATCTATATCTACTTCGTTTCAACTATACGACATTAGGAAAAAGCAGAACTATGGAAACAGCAAAAAGATCAGTGGCTGCCAGGGGTTTAGCGGGGAGAAGGAATGAATAGGCAGAACACAGAAGACTTGGGGGGCAGTAAAATACTTTATGATACTATAATGGTGGATATATGTCATGTATTTTTCCAAACCCCTGGAATGTACAACAAGAATGAACCTTAATTTATATGTTGGACTTTGGGCGATACTGATGTATCATGTGTCATTGTAGGTGTATCAATTGTAACAAATGAACTACCCTGGTGGAAAGTGTTTATAATGGGAGAGGCTAAGTATGTCTGGGGACAGGGTGTATACAGGAGATCTCTGTACCTTCCTCTCAATTTTGCTGTGAACATAAAACTGCTCTAAAACCAATCTTTAAAAAAATTATTAAAGTATTTTGGAATTAACATATAAAATAACCAAGATACCTATAGGAAAACAAAAGCAACTTTTTTTGCTGCAGCAGAATCTAGTCTATCCCGACTTATACAAGGATAAAGTTACCCTGCAAGGTATCAAGATATAATGATAAAAATGGTCTGGTACTTGTGCAAAATGAAAGGAATAATGGCACAGTGTACAAAGCATAGAGATAGATCCAGGAATACGTGAGAACCAAAAGTGGCATCACAAGTCAAATGGGACTGTCTAATAGATGGAATTGGGAGAATACCTCCCTATAAAGAGAAAAAAATTCTGGATTCTTATCTAACTTCATATGCAATAGTGGCTCTTACATAAGGTCCTAGCAAGAATCAGCTGACATGTTCAAGAGGGTAGTTAAAAAGAATTTAATGAAATGAGCTCCTACAAAGGGAAGAAGGAGAAAGGAACTAACTAGGGAAGATGAAGCAAGCACACAGGAACTAACCCCAACAAAAAGCCATTACTACCTTTTGGTCTAAAGAATCATGAGGAGGGAGGCTGCTGCCGGAATCCAGCAAGAGCTATCGCCATGTTGGAGGGGATCCCGGGTAAGAGCTACAGCCTTGTAGGAAGTCATAACCTCTGCAAAACAATGCCACAACAGACAGGATTGGAAGACAGAAGGATATAGGTACCCTGGGCTCTCTCCTCTTACCTTCAGATTTCTTGCTGGTAATTATTACTGAAACCCTGGAAGTCAGAAGCTAAGGAAACCCAGGTGATGAAGTTCATAGTGTTCTTCCTCTTGGGGCAAAAGAAGGCAAGAGACTAATGAAGAGGGGAACTGAAGAGAATAAAAAAAAAAAGAATAGCACAAGTGGATTAAGAAGAAATAATTGGGGTGGAATTAGAGTTTGCTCTTTCATCTAGCATGACAGTTAAGGAAGGGAGGTAAAGTGTTAGCTGGAAAAATAGTGTTTAGAAAGGGTTTTATAGAATGGAACAGTAAAATATTCCTTTATGTTGCTTCTGAAGAAAGCATAAAACCAGACAGTCAGTTAAAACTGCAAGGAGGATCACATTTATTGCATTTTAAGAGTGATAAGATTAAGGACAAAGAGGGAGAAATGATGCAAGTAACCTAATGGACCAATGGAACATTTGACTGCCACCGCTATTTACGTTCATTCAGGAGGTCTTCACAGGTTCACTCAGAGGTTATCTGACTGCAGGGTCACCACCATCCACTCCTGGGAGAAGCTGGAGGTTGTTCTACAGCTATTGGTAGCTTCTCACTTACAGACACAGATTATTTTTCCTCACAGGAGCTCCTAGTTTTTCTTACATTATACTTTTTCTGGTTTTATTTTCTAAATGGGTTATATGACGATGCTAATGTTATTCCGAGTTTAAAGAAGATATACAGACCCACTACTTTTCCTGGGTGGGTGCTCTGCTTTTAGATCAAAAGTCAATATAAATGCTTGGGAGTTGTAGCCAAGGCCTTCGGAACTCAGGAAACAACCTTGTTTCGTTAAGCTTGACTGCTTTCTGGAAGGAGACTTTGCTAGCATGTTGGTCTATCATACCAGCTCTCCTACCTCATTCCTGGGCTTTGTGGTCTTGAGGCTTTTAAAAATTATTTCAAAACTCTAGATGTTTTAAATGTAATGTCCATTTACAATTTCAGTTTTTCCTCTGTAATAGTGAAACATTTTTGTTGTTGTTGTCTCCTATAAAATAGTAAGAGGCTTTCCCTTACAAAAAAATTTAAAGAAATCTGGTTATTTTCAGACACAGTAAAATAAATGCTAAGAAGCACATACCAAAAGGACAAAAATGCCAAAAAAACACTGAAGGAGATCAATCAGAAAAAACTTTTCTTCTGCTTAAAATTGTGTTCTTTCTGGCTTTATCTCAGAAAGAAAGGATTTCTTTATATAACAGAATACAGAGAGAATGTGCAGGCTTGTCCTACTTTCACAGAACTTTTAAATCTTATTAGGCCAGAATGCCTGCCTTATTGTATAAAATATCTCGTTGAATCTGGGTTATTTCAAATAAAGGTATTAATGAAAGCTTACAGAATTATTCTTCCTTGGGGAAAAAAAATTAATGAAAACACTTAAAAATGCCTCTTCCCTCAGCCCCCACTTAGCCCTAAAACATGAGAATGTGCTAGGAGGCCACCCCATAGCTTTCAATAATAGAGGCTCTGATATACATATAAATAAAAATGAAATTAATAGATTGACAATCATTTATTTTGGGTGAAACCATAGATTTGAAAAAAAATATCCGAAATATCTCTCATCAATGGCCTCAGCTTAGTGGCATGGGACAAGCATGGGTTTTTGAGTTAGAGCTGATAAATTACTTTCTTCCAAAAGAGGTGGAAATGATATCTACCTTGTAGAATTGCTGGAAAGATTAGAGAAATAATACAAATTTGTTTATTAAACATCTAATATAGACTAGCTGACTTTTCTATGGGCTACAAAGACAAAGATAAATAAGGGACAGTTCTTTAAGGCTGTAGATGGAATATATAAAACGTCTGAAGAGCAAGCGTTGTTCAATGAATGAAATACATTGTTATTACCATTTGAGTCCGTTGTAACTCCCTACATAAAACAAACAAAAAAAAAGTATGCCTTCATAAGCTAATGTTTTGGAAAGGAAATGGGTAAGCATTTATTCCCTATCTTGATTGTAACTCATCTTTCCAGAATATACTCCTCACAAATCCTGGGTCCCCAGTTCCCCACTTTATACACACACTAATGCTAATCTCCCCATAAATAACCACTCCTGTCTCCACAATATATACACGCCTAGGAGTACACACATGAATTTGGCCCAAAATTATTATCACATAATAGATTACCACAATTTTGCCAATAATCCTGGGCTATCTTGATGGAAACATTTAATCCAGTTGTGTGACCTTTGTCAATTAGTTAGTCTCCTTTTTTTAAAGTGAGGGTAGTAATATATACTGTATTTAAAATGGTTGCTAAAAAACAAGATATAATGACAGAAGTTTACATGTTATTTTTCAAGTGATTCAACTGGTATTTGTCATTGACAATACTATAATATTATCCACTTGATTGCAGATGAGTTTATACTATGAGAGAGTGGAAAATTATATTTCTTGAAAAATTTGAAGGGTGAAAATTTTTTTTTACTTGAAAACCAAATCCAGTGAGTTGCATTCTAAATAAATAATTTATATTTGAACCTAAAGAACTTAACAAATTCTATCTTAGGAATTCTCTTTATAACTCTTTAATCATAGTACGTGTTAGTGAAAACTGGACTCAAACATTTATAGTCATTTGTTAGATACATAAGAAAAAAAGGGATCTGAATAAGGGAGCTAGCTAGTGGCTCCATTTTCATACAATTTTCATTGTATAAGCAGGCTAATTTATCCAAGCTGAACTTAGGAGATCTTACAATCATGGTATTTTTATTTTATAATAAAATCTAACCTACTATAGAATAAAATAGTTACATTCTGCTTCCCTCTTTCAAACACACGGTAACTAGGATAAACCTTTAAAAAAATACAGTTCTTCATTCCTTCTATGTTGTCCTACACATAAAATGTTCTGTAGAAGTAAGAAACTTTGTTCAGAAAACATATTTCTGGGAATTAAATTTAAAACATATCAGCGGCTTTAATATAGCCTTTGTAAAACAATGATATACCAGAAGATAAAATTCAATGCAAATAAGATTATCAGAATTGTTTTTTAAAAAAATCGAGTAGCTTGCTTTGCTACTCGAGGATATAGTATGCAGAAAAGAAAAGCACTAATTATAGGTAATTCTTGAGTACCAGAGTCAGAAGGCCTTTGATCTTTTAGAGGAGAGATACAATTTCAGCATGTTAGGTAAAATTATTAAAGACTCCAGGGTAATGTTAATACACCTCATTGGAAATTATAGAAAAAGATTAGTGAACAGGACAAATTATAGAGAGCTGACTTTCTCTAATAGATTCAGCAAAGTGAAAAATGTCCTTTTTTTTTTAGAAATTTCTATTAAAATCTACTGAATATTTGAATACAAGATCTTATTGGTTTTTTGTTTACTCTGAATGAACTGAGCAATTAACCTTATGTTTTCTAGGCATAAATTGTCAAGTGCTTCTAATGGTCTTCCACTGCATCAAAAATTTTGGAAGAAAACAGATAATTGAGTGAGATGATGGGTTTATTTCTTAGCATGATTTAAACATTCCATATTATAAACACATATCAAATATCACATTGTACTCCATGAATATCTAGAATTATTATTTGTCAATTGAAAATCTAATTTTTAAAAAAAGAATAAGGGAATATGGAGAAATAAAAAGAATTAATGCTTATTGAGTAATTATCACTTCAGGGATTGTACTAACAATTTACCTTTGTAATTTTGGCATTTGAAAAAGATCATCACTTTCATCACCTAGGCTTGAAACTGGTAGAATAGAAACAATAAAAGGAAGGAAAATCAAATTACACTTGTGGGAATATACATCACTACTTTGGCTATTAACAGCTAGTAGGGCATTAATAAGACTTTCCATAATGACTGGGTTTGAAAACTAAGTAAACCAACACAATTATTTAGAGCAGAAGATTTAATGACTTGCCTGCCATCTCACGGGGCTAGAAGCCAGAATTCCTGGTTTTTAAAATCTGTCTTAGAGTTTTTATCGATTTGGAATAAGTGATGGGAGCTAGGTAACAAATTATGAGGTGATAGACTGTCATGGCTAAATATGCATCTTATCAGACACCAATTCAGACTTCATTAGCTAGCACCAGTGACCTACATCATTGCTATGTGGTATTTATTAGTGAAAATTTGCAAATACAGTGTAATGGGACGAGAATTTTGTTCACTCTGCTTTTTTTCTTACGCAGACTTTTCGTTTACAAGGTATCATTCTTTCCTTCTTTTCTCTTCCACATTGTATTCATTTCCAGTTACTTAAAACTTGCCTCTAAAGAGACTTTTGCCTAAAATGGTCTTGCACTGGCAACAACTGCTGAGGTTGCAATAGAATTGTTAGAATTCTGAGAGACAGTAAACTCACTTTATACTATGTCCAGTTAAGTGGTACAGACACCAATAATGTAATAAAAAAGAAATATCTTCTCAATTAATAGTCACTTTTCATGTTTTAGCAATTTCACATAATGATGAATATTTCAAAAAAAAGCATTGCTGTGTTTATTGTTTAATCTAAACAATTTTCATAATTGACCTATGTGCCTATGTAGACAATAACTTCTGGAAGACATCTTCCGTTGTTTAAACAATTTAAAGAGTTGCTTACTATGCCATCTCCTCTTTCTAAAGTCCAGTATGTGACTAAAAGAAAAAAGCAAAATAGCCTCTGTAAACTCTTTTATTCTGATACTGTGTTACAAAAATGTTTTAAAGCGAATATTCCCATGAAGTCAGTGTTTTCGCAATCTTATTCACAGAAAATCTAAAGTAGCCATGAGAGAATGGAGCCTTAGACTTAAAATTAGAAGATCTAGATTAAAGTTCAGCCAGGGCCATTTAACGACTTGGCAAGTTACTTGAAATACCCAAACCACTTTTTTCTCATGTGTAAAATAGAAATTATACCAATCTATTTCTTTTGGTGAAATGATGATTGTATTCTGTTAATCGTAATGTTTCTCTATAAATGCAAATTAGATAGCTAGAGATAGAGGTATGTGTACAAATGTATGCATATAGATATCACATACACATATTTTTCAAAGATAAAATATATATAAAATTTTTATCTGAGAAAATTCAAAAGTGAGAAGGCCATTGTATATACTAATTGAGAATAAAGCACCAGAAAGTGATTTAAGAATTGCTGTGGAAGATAAAAATAAGCCAATTTGACAGTTACATTAGTAGAAACACTTTAGCTAAAGAGAAAGCAAGAATCAATTTTGTTAAAGTAGAATTAAAATATTCATGTTTATCAAAAAATGATTATATTTTAAATTTAATTGTATTTTAAGGAAAAAATGAATGAGTTAATTTCAATAAATATTTTAGCCATATTACTTTATTAAAAATTTTCACGAAGTTTAAGAGACAAAATTTAAAATATTGAGGTTGAATAATTATACATTTTAATACTTTTTTTTTTTTTTTGAGACAGAGTCTCACTCTGTCACCCAAGCTGGAATGCAGTGGCATGATCCTGGCTCACTACAACCTCTGCCTCCCAGGTTCAGGCAATTCTCGTGCCTCAGTCTCCCGAGGAGCTGGGATTACAGGCTCACGCCACCAGGCCTGGCTAATTTTTGTATTTTTAGTAAAGACGGGTTTTTGCCATGTTGGCCAGGCTGGTCTCGAACTCCTGTCCTCAAATGATCCATCCAGTTGTGCCTCCCAAACTGCTGGGATTACAGGTGTGAGCCACCGTCCCCAGCCTAATACTATGTTTTAATTTTAAATTTTATCAGTTGATTCTCTGTTTTAAATTGTAAGTAAATTAGTTCTCTTCCACTTTCTTATTTTATTAATTGTCTGGATTTCATCTTCAAGTTCCTCCTCCCTCCCTGTCTCTTTCTCCCTTCCCTCCCTCCCTCCTTTTTGCTTTTCTTTCCTTCTTTCTTTCACTCAATCATTGCTATATCCTCTGCCATAGTCTTATATATTTCAGAATGAATTTCTTTTATACATTGATATATCTTTCAGAGAACTTATTTCTTTTTCTCCTGAATCCTTTTAAGAATGATTCCTATATTCTTGAAGTATAATATTAAATGGGATATATCAGTGTATCAACTCATCAATATTTCCAGAAATATAGGATGCACTTTTGGTCCACAGATTTATTCTTCTGTTATTTGGGAGAAATAATTTGATATTTTTAAATAGATATTATTTTCTATTCTGTTGAATTTACTTTTTCTGAGAAAAGATTATATGTATCATAGTTTTCTTCTCTATACCTCAATCTTTGTTCTCTACCTTTATTCTCTATGTTCTCTATATTATCTTAATTCTTTCTTTCCTCCATGTCAATAATCTTAATTTCTATCTTATCTCATTTTGTACCATGATGTTTCCACTTCACTAATAGTTTTAAAATGTGATTATTAGTGTTCTTAGATCTGGCATCTCCATTTTCACCTCATATATTATTTTGTCATCTCATTTTTAACCATGACTTCTACATCCTCCATCCCTTCCTCTTCTCCTCCCTGTTCTTAAGTTGTAGATTTGTGCCACATTATAGGATAAATATCTTCTCTAGAGTAGGATTAATTTTTATTCTTTTAATACGACCAAAGAAGCATAAGTTTCAGGACGCCAGGAGACCTGAAGGCTGGTCAAAGCATTTTCTAATGCCATTTCACTCTTTATCCAAACCAAATTATAAAACATCATCATATGTCCTCTGTGTGTGTGATGGTTTTTTGTTGTTTGTTTGTTTGTTTGTTTTGTTCAAAGGCTCAAGCAGATCTGGAGCTGCTGCCCAACCTGCAAACACGGAGGATTTTGCCTCCATCCATGTATTTGCTTCAAAAGACAAAAGCATTACAAACCTATAAAAGGTCAGATATAAGAGGTAGCAATGGACCCACAATTAACGCAACCACCTGCTTTGAGACAACCTCAGTAAGCACGTCCTTTCTTCCTTTAGTAGCAAAGAACAAGCTCGTTCAATCTTTGAACAGAGAGAAACTTATAAAAAAAATTTCACAAGTATCACACTGTGAAGCCTGTGAAGTTAAGCATTCCAAGAAAGAAACAAGCAATGTGATGACTTGAGAACTTCAATTAGCAAGTTTTTAATTCCACTTTTCTCCCCAAGTGAGAAGGCGAAAAACAACAAATTTCACATATGCGGTGTGTTGAGCTTTTAGGCCTATAATGGAAGACTATGACCTATAAAAGTGAATTTCTCCCAGATAAAATTTGTCTTGCTGTTCTATTTCATCATGATCATTAGTGTGATCAATTCTATTCACAACTGCTATTGACTCCAAATAGCAAGAGAGAATTTTCCTTGACTCCCTCCCTTCCATGTTAGAAACCTCTTTTTCCTTCCCTCCCAGGTATGGTTTGAGAGATTGAGGAGTAGCTATCTACTTTTCTATGGCTTTAAAGGAAAGAGTGAGAGGTGCCTGATAGATAGATTTGCCACCTCATTTAACTAGGTTTTTTGCTACCTCTTTTACCATTTGATTAAATGTTTTCTGTCAGTGTTCACTCAACCAAGCAGAGGTGCATGTTATTCCTATGAAAAGATATACTAAGCTTTACATATTTCCCCTACTTTATCTTGGAGCTCCAGTAATGGGGAGGCATGTCTGTTTTTCCTGATTCTACTGAGACTCTTGAATCTTCATAGTGATAAGCCAAGGCTGCCACTCTCAAAGGTTTATTTTGATTTTTTCCTAGGGCTAGCTACTCTCATTGTTCATCTACTTCCCTAAGATGGGGGATTTAGTAATAATTCTCAGGGTTTTGTCAATTCATTTCTCTTTTCCTGACAAGATTTTGTGATATCTGTTGTACTCAAGAATGCTGCTGACTTGTACCTTACCAGAAACTGCCTTTTCATTCCTAGACATCACTTCTTTGGGTTTTCTGTCCGGAGACTATAACCTATTCCTTGCTTCGTTGGTACTGGTTACCACTTTCCTACATTTTACTTTTTTTTCTCCCCCCGCTAACTTCTCTAGATATTGAAGAAGGGAGATCTTAAGATCTGATTCATTTTCTCGTTTTTATTTTAGAGATCCTTTATTTTCCTGTGAAGCTCCTTTTAAAAAAAGATAGATTTTTAATGGACTTGTTTATGATTATTTAAAATGGTTAAGTGACCAGAACTGAATTTGCCCTCACAAATTCAAAGAAACATATAAGGTGAGATTTGTAGTTTCCCATCTGTCAAGAATGTATAAACAAAATGTGAGCCAATTAGTATTAGGGTATATTCATGACACCAGACATTTTATACCAAATCTTTGAGAGGAGAGTAGTGTTACAGTTAAGAGAACACATGTCATTTCTAAATAGTAATGTTAAGAAGCCACATGACATTAACTAAATTCACTATTAATTTTTCTATTTTGTTGGTGGGTTTTTCAAAGTACCAGAATTTTGATTTATTAATTTTATCTACTTTTTTTCTGTTCCCTACTTTATTAATTTTAGTGGACATCTTTATTATTTCCTTCCTTGTACTTACTTTTATTTTATTTTGTTGTTCCTTTCTAGATTTTGAGTTGGAATTTAAACCAATTGTATTTTTTATTTTTTTATTGATAGCAGATAGAAGAATATGTGTATTTTCTAATCATTACTTGAAATGATACAGGAGTTTAAAGCTATTTATTTTCATGTGATCATTTCTTTAACTCTTACAGATTCTGATATATAGTGTTTTATTACCATTATTTTTCAGAACTTCTGTATTTTTTCATATATTTTTCCATTCACCCAAAAGTTGGTTAGTTGAAAGCCATTGAGTGTATTATCACATAATTTGATAATAGCTTCATTTTATAGAACCCACTAATGTCTTCTTTGTAACTCAATATATGATCAGTTTTTGAATATGTTCCATAGATGATTAAGAAAAAGGTATATTCATTATTATCAGGGTATAGTGTTTGATACATATCCGTGAGATCTACTTTATTGATTATAGTGTCTCAATATTTTATCTAGTTTTTTAGTTCACTTGCCTTGTCTTACACTGTTAATATTGCATTATTATCATCTTTACTCCTCAAATCCTCTATATTCTTGCATCTTACTTTGTAGTTTCAACTTTACATAAGTGGTACACGGATATTGATAACTGTTGTGTCTTCATTATGATTTATGGATTTCTAGTTTCATACAGTGTCTTTCTTTGTCTTATTTGCTGCATTTTGGCCTGAATTCTGTTTTATCTGATAATAAGATCTCAACCTCTGCACTCTTATTGATTCCATATGCCTGACATACTTGCCAATATCTGTATTTTTTACTATTTGGAATAAAACCAGATTTTAGTTGTATTTCTTGTACATAGTATAGAACTAGGCTTTGCTTTGTGAGCCAATCTGAAACAATTTTTAAAATAGACTAGCTAAAACTTACTCATGTTTAGTGATATAATAGATATGCTTAATCTCAACTCTGCATTTTATTTTATAATCATTGTGTATGTTATGTCATATTGATGATATTTCTCCACTTGGCCTCTGGGTTTTTTAATTTTCTTTTGGAATTAAGAAAGCTTTGTATCTTTGTTCTAAAGGTTTTCCTTTTATTTATAGTTTTTATAATGTCTAACTCCTGTTCCTCTTACATGACCATTGACTGCCTGGTTTGTTAGTTTTAAATGGCATCCTTTGTTACCTATTACCTATACAAAAATCAGTAATCCCATTCTGCTTTCCTCTTTCTCTCTCCCTTCTTTATTCATTAATTTTTAGTTTCATACTTTATACTTTGTCATAAATATGACATTTCCATACTATTCTTCCACCAACCTATGTACTGCTCAATCTTAGTTCTACAATTAATTATATTGAATAATTACCATCAGTCCCTTTGCTGAAGTTTCTCTAGTTGTCTCTTTCATTTGATGAAATTTATCTTATATATTTCTGAGAGAGTCAAACTTTGTGAAGTATTCCCTGAGTTCTTTCATGCTTAAAATTGTAGGCTTGATAGTTGAAAGACAGGTTAGCTGGATATAAAATCTTTTATTTATGCTTGGAGTTTCTTGAAAGTAAACATCTCTCTACTATGAACTATCTCTAATCATTGGCTCATGAATTATTATTTAACTCTGGAAGATTTGTATTTTAGTTTATAAAACTTATAGAAGATAATTTTGTCAATTTTTGGACTACAGTATTAGTTTTTTGACAGAGGAAGAGAGCGAGGAGAGATATGTTATAGATATTTTTCCACATGTAAGGGTATATCTGGACTTACAAATTTTAAGCTAATTTCATCAAACAGTTGCTTAATCCAGAAAAGAATACATCTATCAATTATATCCCCAAAATGTGACAAAATTAAATCAAAATGATCAAATAACTACAGCCTAATATTTTTACAACTTTACTCACAGTGTTTTGTTATTTCATTTTCTTTCAAAAATTACTCAACTATACTCTATAACACTGATTCTCGAAATGTGGTTCACAGACCTCCGTGGTTCCGCGAGATTTTTAAGTTCATAAAGTCAAAATTATTTTCAAAATACGCTGAAATTACTTACCTTTTTCACTTGGTTGATATTTATATTGGTAGTGCAAAGTAATAGTGCATGAAAGTGCTAGGGACTTATTTCCTATTAAGGCAGTGGCAAGAAACTATGCTAGTAGACACTTTATTTATTTACCAACATGCTCTTACAGGGAAAAAAATGCCAGTTTCACTTAAGGGTATCCTCGATGAATCAGTTCAACTGTTTAAAAATCTAAATCCTTCAGTGCATTTCTTTCTAATATTCATGTGACTAAACAGGAAAAATTCTTAAAGTGCTTATGCCACATACCAAAATACAATGGTTGACTTAAGAAGTCTGAGGCTGCAGTGAGCCATGATCGGGCCACTACACTTCAGCCTGAGCGACAGAGTGAGACCCTATCTCTAAAAGGAAAAAAGAAGTGAGGTACAGTATGGCTCATGTCTGTAATCCCAGCACTTTGTAAGGCCAAGGCAGGAGGATTGCTTAAGGCCATGAGTTTGAGAACAGCCTAGGCAACATAGCAAGACTCCATCTCTACAGAAGGAAGAAGAAAGAAAGAAATGAAAGAGAGCGAAAGAAAGAGAATGCAGTTGTCCTCTATTAAGCCATGCACTAATGAAATTTGAAAAAATATAAAACAGTACCTCTATTTTTTTTGGTTTGGAAAATATGATTATGTTCTTTAAAACATTTTCATTAAAGCAGTTGTCATTTGATTTGATTAATAAATATTTTTAAATATCTACTTTTCAATTTTAATTAAAAATTAGAAATTTTATATTTCTAATATTGGTAGTTATCCACATAAACAAAGGTTCTTTGAAGACTGTCAATTTTTTTTGAGTGTAAAGAATTCCTGAGATCAAAATGTTTGAGAATAAATTATCTACAGCCATGTTTAAAGACCTTTAATGGATTCCTAGAGATCTAAACAGAAAAACCAAATTCTTAACATGGCTTCTATTTACAATATGTTACTATCACATAGGCATTTATTTCTCATGTTATATTTCCTTTTGAGAACACACTGTTCCTTCTCTCTGGAATGTCCTTCCTAATCCGTCTCACCTAATTAACTCTCATCCTTCTGGTTTCAGCTTAAGCAGCACCTCCCTAAGCATCTGCTCCTTTGTTTTAGCCTCCATTGAAACCATACTTCTATACTTCAGAACCTTTCCTCTTTTTATAATTATATATTTATTGATGAAAATATCTGATGAATGGTTTTCTTCCCAATAGATAGAAAAAGCATGAAACCAATAAGCACGCACGTTTTGGCTTATCATTATATTCACTCTTCCTAGTGGAGTGCTTAGCACAGAGTAGGGTGGGAAATAAAATATTTGTTGGAGAATGAATAAGTGAATTAACGCATGAATTGATATAGAGTCATATCCCTTGATAGAGTCATATCTATGTGAATTGATACAGTCATATCTATTACTTCTTTTGTCCTAAAGTCTACAGTTGAGTAAAATTTATCTACATGCATTTCTTCATACCTCCCTTGTTGCTAAGCTATCATTATGTCTAACATACTTTGGTGTAAGCATCTGTGTATTTATCAGTCTACCCATAAGATTCTTCACTCTTTACAGGCTTAAGGGCATGGACTGTATTTTATTCATATCTGAATAAATGAATCTGTGATAAATTTTGTGTATTTTATTCATCTGTGAATTAATTTATTCACCTGTAAATAAATATACAGATGAATAAAATACAGTCATAAGATATTTAGCACTTAGGATGTCATAAGATACTTAGCACTTGATAAAGAGTAAATGAATGTATGAATGAATTACTGAACTAAACATTTCATATATGGCATTACATACTTCTTTGCATTTTTATTAAATTCTCCCAGCTAAAACTCAGGTAATGGGAGAAATCAAGATTGCATTGAAGAAGGAAATGAAGACAGATGGTGAACAACTAATAGTTGAAATTCTCCAATGCAGAAATATTACATACAAATTTAAGTCTCCTGATCATCTACCAGGTATCTAATTCTATTATAATCATCAATATATCTAGATTTTTTTAGGGATGTGTCTTACATATTCTGGAAAATGTTAACTAAAATTTGAACTGTACACCAAATATGTCAGAAAAAATAACTGATTAACATATGTAACAAGTTGTTTTCTTTCAGTTTTTAGCTAGATATTTTAACATATACATTATAGTGTTATATTCATTAGCCAACAGAAGGACAATTTTAAATTGTTAAGAAAAATAGATATATCAGTTAGGTGTGGTCGCTCCTGCCTGTAGTCCCTCTATGTAGAAGACTGAAGCAGAAAGATCACTTGAGCCCAGGAGTTTGAAGTTAAGTGAGTTATCTGGCCACTGCATTCCAGACTGGTGACAGAGTAAGACCCTGTCTCAAAAAAAAAAAAAAAAAAAAAAAAAAAGACATATCTTTTAATCATTTTATGTTATCTGAAACAAATCGTTTACAATCTGCTGGCTTTGTGCAAAATGTAACAAGAACTCTCAGTATACAGTTATAATTCTTTCAATAGAAATTTATATGATTGATGGAATTTAATGGGCTGAATTCTTATTTTCAGATTTATATGTGAAAATATATGTGATGAATATTTCTACCCAAAAAAAGGTGATCAAGAAAAAAACAAGAGTATGCAGACATGATCGAGAGCCTTCGTTTAATGAAACTTTTCGATTCAGTCTAAGTCCTGCAGGACATTCTCTTCAGGTAGCTCTGTATTATGTAGTTCATATTTGAAACTTCTCATTCATATTGTATTTATTTTTATCCCATTATTCAATATTTATATACTGATCATACACTATATGACATTTGAGAAGTTAATTAATTTTCAGCAGTATCTCCCCAGGAATCTTTTAGAATTCCACAGCCCACTCACCCCATCCAATCAGCTGCCAAGCCTTCTCTACCCTGTCTGTGGAGTTTATTTTACATAGATTCTTCTTATTTCCATGCTTACTGCCACTAAACCTTTTTGGGCCCCCATCTTTGTTATTCAAATCATTTCATCTGTTTACCTGGCCTATTGTCATTTATGCCTTATCCCTTTAGTTCATTTCATCACAGCACTGCCAGAGTTACATTTTAAAACCCTGGTTAGTTTACATTAAAGCTCTTCAATTACTCACCATTATCTTGAATCATTCAGAGTCCTCCAAAGTGAGTTTTAATTGTATTGACTTAGTCTCAGCTCCTTGGATACTTTTCCACTCACTTAATACTCCAAGTCACAACAGACTGTTTTCAAGTCATGTTAAGCCTCCAATCCTTTGCTCATATTTTTTCTCCCCTTCAAAGCTCCCTTTTCCAACTCTCGCCATCTATCACAATACTCCACATCTTTCATCTCCTTACTGATGACCCTGGGTATAATTCATCTTACCTTATTCACAAAGCATTTTGCTTCTATTAGTAGGCTATCAATCCCAGTCTGTCTTGTAACAACAATATCTGTACTTACCTGTCACTGCTTCTATGCTATCAGTTTCTCTAGGGCAAGGACTAATTTTCATTGCCTACAGCCTGCACAATGCTTTGCACATAGTACGTCTTTAGTAGATATAGAGACAAGGAATAAAAGTAGAAATGGGGGAATGAGAAAAGAGAAAAAAATATAGGAAGAGACCATGGTACAGGAAATTAAAGGTTTGAATTAGAGACAAAGATAAAAGATATTACAAAGCAAAAATGTATTGAGAAGATTAACTGATATTAGACTGGAAGGGAATAAAAATGTGAAATGACACTCTGAAGTCTGTGTCAACAAATGTATTATTTCACAGAGATTACGTAGTCAGGGAATTTGGAATAGAGAAAGACCAATAGTTTGTCCGAAATGAATTTGATAAGAAGGCAGAGATTTGAGTGAAAATATACAATGTCACTTGAAATCCCTGAACCAGAAACCAGAAGAGATAGTCATATCTGGAAGTACAAATTTTGAAGTAAGAAGCATAAAAGTTTTCGCCAGGAATAAGGGTAAATTATATAACTGGAGATTCTGAAGAGAAAAAGAGAATAAAATTACAAGGATTACTGCTTAGCTCCACTGAATGCTCTCTTTACTTCAACTCATCTTTAAAATGAAAAAAAAAAATTCTTTAGTTTGAGACCCTTGTGATAAGTTCTGCATATGACTTCAGAAAACAGCTTGGAAGTACATACTATAGTAAAATCACCAGAAAATTTCATACTAAATATAAACAATGCTCTGTGAAGTTATATTTATTTATTCAGAATACAGATAATCTTTTATTTGATTTGGATTTGTGTAAACTAGTAAAAAATTATTTGGCAAAGTTATTTTGTGAAACTTTCCATCAGTTTAAGCATAAACTTAGAATTAGCTAGTTAGACATTTCTTACCTAGTATTCTCACATTCTTCAGAATGTGTCTTTTCCTTTGCAGAATAATACAAATGTTGATGTGAATTAATTTATATTACATGCAAATCTTTTGAGAACACCTTGGTTATCAGTTCTCCTGCAAATATGTCTGCTACTTCTACTCAGCGTCACCCTCTTTCGTGCTATGTCTTTGATGATTAAATGTCCTTAAAAAAGGTTGAAAACTATACACATGTATATGTGTATAAATTAAATATGTTTATTTTTGCCTATTTTTTCTAGATTTTACTTTTCTCCAATGGAGGGAAGTTTATGAAAAAGACCTTGATTGGTGAAGCCTGTATCTGGCTTGACAAAGTGGATCTCAGAAAAAGAATAGTCAACTGGCACAAACTTTTGGTCAGTCCTACTCAAACGCATTGAAGAAACATGTCTTCTCAGGGTATAGAAACTGCTCTAAATAGCCTCACATCAAGACTATAGTTGAATACTATTGTACAAAGCTAAGTTTTGAGAGGCAAACATAAGAGTGGGAACAACAAGCAAAAACATACTTAAGACCTTGTACATTTATTGTTGTGGATCACACAAAGATATTCAACTGAAAAAGTTCACATACTGAAAACAAGAAGAATGGAGTTCTGAGACCTTGAATTTCCCATGGCTGTGAAGAGAAACTGTGAAACAAATTTTGATTACTTAAGACAATAATCTTTGAGTAGAGTTGAGCTATAGCTTAAGACAGGCTCAAAGATTAATGTGGTTTTCATGCAGCACAAAGGTAATTCTTTATGCAAAGGAGCCTTGGTTGAAAGGAAAGGACTGATGTAACAAATCTCAGTTTTCAAAACTTCAAAAATCTTCCTTCATCGTCTTCTATTCAGACAACTTGCTGCTTTCAGATTCTGACATAAGATATACCTACAGTATGTGTCCAGGGCTGGAAGTGAGGTGGCTGTGTTCTTAGGGAAAATGGAAGAGGAGATGTAGAAATTGTGGCTTTCAGGCCATATTTTACCAGTTTTCTCTGTGTCTAAATGTTACAAGCATATACAACACTGACTTTGGAATCCATGTGGTAAAAGCACATTTGTTTCTGTATCATTTGAAACAAGGTAGAGTGAAGATAATACTCAGTAGAAATAAAATTGAATTTATCTAGAAATAAAACTATGACTGGCTAACAAAGAAGAATGTTGCCCCATAAAATATTGGAATTTTGGTTGAAACCATCAAAATCTTCATAATTTACCATTAAGCCAAGACATCTTCAGTCTATGTACCAAAGGACCTAGAGTAAACTGATATGTTCTAGGAAGCATGATAACTTACTCTTTGTGAAACTGCAAATAAATGTATTATCCTGCACATTTCCTTTCTGTTGAGCGATGCATTGACAGAGAAAGAAAATTCTTTCTCTGGCAAACAAACCATATTAATCTTGTGACATTGATTAATTAAATGGATCCTCATTTCATAATATTTTATGCTTTTTTCCTTAATGACTTAATTCATTTACTGATTGTATCATGAAAACATGACACTAAACTCGAGTTCTCTCTAGTGCTCTATTTTCTTACTTTAGTGACAGTATCACAGTGATCAAGTTCATCAATGTTGGGAAAATATGTGAAAAGTCAACATTTACCTGAGATTAAAATATACTTTGAGCTATTTTAATAATAATGAATAAAACAACTAATGTCCAAGTCTTAAAATGAAGCACCCTCTTCTCTATCAGCATTATTAATTAAGGAAGTAACGTGAAGTTGTGGAAAAAACACTCAGCAGGGAATAAAAGCCTGTCTTCTGGTCTTAGTTCTACCACTGACTGTGTCACTTTGCACATGTCACTTACACTCACTTTACCCCAGTTTTCTTATCTATAGGATAAAAACAATTATATATTCTTAACCTTCCAAATGAGATGTTGTGATGATAAATCAATGATCCATGAAAGATGAAAGCACATTTCCAAATATAGTTTTATACACAGAAGTGAGGAATAATTATTACATATCTTTTTAATTCTCAAATTTTATATGTGAAAAACATCATCTAAACCAATGGCAAGGATTGACATGGATAAAAGCAGTAAATTAGCCACAAAACTTATTTTTTATTTAAAATATAAACTTTAACCTGACTAAAGGTGAAGAATTACATGAAAATGCAAATTTTGCTATCCCAAATTAAATGAATAATGCTGGTCTTACCCTAGTCCTATATTCCACCCAAAAGAAATAAATCAAATTGCTTCTCAGAGCATTCTGAGCTTAAAACCTGCTGCTTTATTTAAGGGTGAAGTGTTAGTGGAATTAGAGAAAACCAACTCTAGATATTGGTTGGATATTGAATTTTCTCATTTTTAAAGAAAAAATGCTCTAAATTTGAGAGGACTGTAAAGCACTAAAAATAAGAGAATTTCTAATATATCCCAGGATATATATATATATATATGACTTCAGAATACAAATTCGATCTTCCCCAAACTGAGAAAGATAACCATAACTTTTCTTCCCTCTATTTTTTAATCCCCCTCCACTGACAATACAATGTCATTTACCATTGACATTGCTCTCAAATGAGCATGGGAGAGTGGAATCATCAAAGACATTATATTGCTAGTATTTTATTTTTAGAAACTATTAGATCTGCTGATGGTTGCCATGGATATTTCCAGCAGAAGCTAGCACTTGAAGAAGCCTATAATCATCACTCATAATTGGGGAAGAAAAGGTCCAAGGAGATCTCCTTCTGACATAAAAAGGCTCTGGTATTTGCCCTTAAAAGAAAACCCTGACTCATCTCTGATCCTCTTTTGCAGCCACTCATATCCATAGGTATGCATGAGAGTTTGTATGACCAGTTAGCTTTCTTCATTCCAGTTGCAATTTCTTTTAGAATAATATAAATGGAGGGATCACCAAAACAAAGATTATCTCTTTGGTAGCTATTTAACCTGAAAGCGTAGGAGTCTTTCCATTATAGAAGCCCCTCCGTTCCAAGGAACTAGCGATGGGGCTAGGTCAATCAGCAGAGTTGACAACAGGGCTTCTTTTTGTGCACCAGCATTCCCCTTCAGAGAGCATAAGATCCTGCCAGTGTGCCAAGTTTGCAGCTGACCAAACTTCTAGGTTGTACTGGAATTATTCTATGCAACACTGATCCTTATATGAATGCGTTTCTTCTGAATGATGTTGACTACCCTTCTTACAACAAAACTGTTTCTTTTTTATTGCAAATAGGGCTCTTGGTGTTTTTTACTTTTTTGTACATATCACAGTACATGGTTTTTCACTCTTTAGTTTATTTCATTTTATTGGAATTAACTTTTTTTTATTCTAATACTGACAGAGTTTGTAATCTCTATATAATACGTAATTACTCCAATTACAGCACTTTTACCTTGAAGAGCATCTCAGTTTTTCCCACAATTTCATTGAGTCATCAGAGACTGATGTTGCTTCTTGGTTTCAAATTTGGTCCTAAAGAAACTTTCGGCTGTAGAAACAAAAGCACAGAGTGAATTTTTTACAAAAGACAGGGAATATAGAATAGTCATTACAGACACAAATAACCCTAGTAGCACGAAGTTGGTGTTTTCTCTGTTTTTACTTAAGATTAAGAAGATTTTTGGTGACTCTGAACTCTTTATTTATATTTCAGTTTAAAATATCAAGACTAAGGGGCATCAGTTATCTTTACTCTTTAATATTGCCCATATTTTAATAAATTACACTAATTAAACGCATATTTTCAGCATACCAGTGGAATTAATTTTGTGGATCACACACATTTAAATAGTCATATTGTGGGAATATTATAGCTGGTAACCAGCTGATATTGATTCTTATTATAGGAATGACTGTAATGATAGTGGTGGTAGCAGTAGTGATATTAGCGGTGGTGGTGATGTGAAGTAAAATAAAAGTATATATTATATTGTGCCCAATTTATTAGAAATTATTTGATCAATGCTTCATTTCATTAAAATATCATAAAGATGTTTATAGTATTTTTTTACTTTATTATTTAAATCATAACTAACAATATTTTTAAAAACTTATTTTCATTGCTACAATGTCAAATATTCCAAAATCAGCCAACTACAGCTATATATGTGTTATGTGTGACAGAAGTGATCTTCCTTCCCTCTTTTTGAGCTTGACATGAAAGTGAAAGAAGACTCAATGAATAATTATGAGCTATTTATTTAATAATTACTTGCCTTGGGTGTAATACAGTAATGAATGAGTGAAACAAATATTCTCATTGAATATGATACAATGCTGTTTTCTGTATGTTTCATGTTCTATTATTAAAGGTATCCATTAGGCCAAAATTATTTAATCAAATTCTTTATCTGATAGGTAGATTGAGAGCATTTTCTTAATGCATTACCTTGTACATAAGTATACACTTGGTAAAGTAGACGAAGTTGAAATATTAATTTCATTTGGCATTTAGCATGTGAATATGATTATTGTTTGATTGTGTCTGTATATTTGTTTGGTGACGTGCTCAGGTGCTCCCACTACTGATTAATGTGTGTGCTAATATCCTAAAAACACATATGAGGTTTAAGAAAAAATTTTCTTGTCTGAAAACATAAACATCTTAATAAAACTGATTTTGAAATAAAAACTAAAGTACTTGAAGATATGTCTTGTTTCTAACTATATGTTGCATGCCATGTTGGTGATTTGCTAATGTGTTTTTTTGTTTGTTTGTTTTACCCAAATCCCTTTGGAAAATCTAATGGACAAATGCAAATTCTTGGACTAAGGACTGTATAAATTGACCTGAAAATACATGAGAGTTGCATTTAAAAAAAAATGCTTGTAAATCCGTCTTGAGTTTTACTCTATGTAAAAATATGTCTTGGTTTTGTGATTGTATACAAGATGTATCTTGATAACTTATGTAAACTGTGCCGTATAAAGGCTGTTGCCTCAGCCTTACTAATAAATACTGAAAATATCACCTTTGACTTCTTGTGTTTATCAACTTGATAAATTCATCCTTAATATAAAGATAAAACTTTTCAGGACATCTCTGAAAATTGTATCGTAAATATATTCACTAGCCCAGTTTTAAATTTGTATTTCAAATATAGCAGAGATACAGAAAACAGAATTAAACAAATGCATAGCTTCATAAATGATTGTATGTCAGACATTCTTATAACCACCATCCAGGCCAAAAAATTGAAATTTGCCAGCCATCTCATAAGTCTTGCATTCAACTCATCCCTATCACAACTCGTTCCCACCCTTCTAAATGTAACACTATCCTGATTTAATGATAATAATTTCTTGATTTATCACTCACAGAGCCCACAAAACACTAGTGTAGTTGTCCTGTTCTATTTTTAATATTTTTCTAAGCTTCTTTTAATTTACGTATTCTCCTCCGCCTCCCTTCTTTTTCAGTGAATCGCCTTTAAAAAAAAAAAAAAAAGAAAAGAAAAAAACTTGGTCTTTGCACCTGTAGGATTCCTCGCAAACTGGGTTTTGCTCATTGCATACTACAGGGTAGTTAACAAGTTTCTCTGCCTCTGTGTTACTTGTACATTGGTATTTTTTCAATATGCTTGGTCCAAATCATGTCCAATTTCTTTGTCACAAGTCGGTCTTGTATTCTTGGACTGGGAGGCACATATGTCTGGTGGTCTCTTACTTTGTCCCGCTTGTGGCCACTGATGCTCAATCCCTGGAATATATTTATTAATTAATTAAATGTTGCAAAATGATAATATTATATATCAATCATTATTTCTTCTTGAAATATTTAGAAAAATATAAACTTCTTTTGAGTCAATATTTGGTTACCCCGTGTTACAGTCTGTACAAGAAATCTCGGATAAAGGCAGAGAGAGCTGGACAATTTCCCTTTATCTGTTTACCGTATTTCAAAATAACAGATAGTTCCCTACCACCCCCCAAAAATAACCAATTCCTTTTTCTTTTTATTTTTAGTGTCATTATAAAACCAAAGATTGAAACATATTTGATATGTTTTAATTCTTTGAAGCTATTATTCATATTAATGCTTGGATTTACCCTTTTTGGTCAGTTAGGGCATGTCCGAGGGGGCTTACATGTTTACTATATTCTTTGATACTCTCTTGCTATAGCAAGTAAGTTACCTATCATTTTTTAACCTTAAAACAGTGTAAACAACTAGTTGGTTTAAATTTTTATTTTTTATCTATTCATCTCTCTGCAATAATTAAATTTAGGAATGTATCACACTGATTGATCAAATTTTATGTAATATACTTCTGGTAAACTTTTAAGGGCATTCTTAGGTGAAGTATATATTGGAGTTTTTTTTAAGATAATGCCAGATCTAAAGAGTTATAAATAGATGAATGGTTTAAAAGTTTGGCTTTTTGACTATTTATTTTCTAGGTATTAAAAGCTGAAAATGCCTCAAACTACAGTCTAAAGATCTTGAAGATTGAGACAAAATAGTTATCTATTAAAAGATAATGATGAAAGTATAATTGCAAAAATTTTGAAATCTTTTCTTCCTGTATAACAACTCCAAAAAAATGTTTTTTCATTTTGATATTTTTACTTTTTTTGTATTATATTTTTTATTTTATTATTTATGAAATGAAGGAAGAATTTCATGGATTATTTATAAGAAAACAATCTTCCAAAATTTGATTATTTGAAAAGATTAATAAAATGAAAAAATCCATGCCAATCAAAAGAGAAAACCAAGTTACCATAATCAGATATGAGAAATTTTCATGGATGTCAAGATATCTACCTGATAATGAAAAAAACCAATCCAGCAATGTATAAAAATGATAAGAATCATGATCAAGTTAAATTATACTATTTACATAAGAGTATTTTAATATTGGGAAATGAATTAATGAAATCTACCACATTAATATGCTAAAGTAAAAGAATGATAAGGTACTGTGATATATTTGAAGAAATTAAAAATTCATTCATAATAAAAACATTATAGCACACTTGGAATGGAATGGTACTCTTTAAATCTAATGAATTGTATCTATGTATAAAACTTGGTGAATGGCTTTTCTTTTGAGACCAGAAACAAAACAAGTATGCCTATTGTATCATTTCTATTTAATATTGTATCAAAGATCCCAGTCATGTATCAAGGCAAGGAAAAAAATACAAATAATTGAACAAGAAGTAGAAAGGAAAAGAAAATTATAATTATTTGTAGATTATATGTCTTTATGCCTAGAAAATCCAAGCACTCAACAATTTTCTTTAGAATATACAAGTGAATTTGTCAATTCTACTAGATGCAAATGAAATTGTTAAAACATAATTTTTATTATCATCAAAGGTATCAAATGCTTAGGAATAAATTAACAAAGAGGTTCAAGACCTCTACAAAGAATGTTTTTAAGATAATACATTAAACAAGACCTGAACACCATGTTCATTGATTGAAAAAGTTGAATATTGTAGTGGTACTCAACTCTTCCCAAATCACAAATGCAACCACATTTTTTGTTTCTTTTCTTTTTTTTTTTTTTTTTTTTTTTTTTTTTTGAGACGGAGTCTCGCACTGTCGGCTAAGCTGGAATGTAGTGGTGCGATCTCGGCTCACTGCAAACTCCGCCTCCCGGGTTCAAGCGATTCTCCTGCGCCAGCCTCCCAAGGAGCTGGGATTACAGGTGCACGCCACTACGCCCGGCTAATTTTTGTATTTTAGTAGAGTTGGGATTTCACTATGTTGGTCAGGCTGGTTTCGAACTCTTGACCTCGTGATCCGCCTGCCTCAGCCTCCCAAAGTGCTGGGATTACAGGCGTGAGCCACTGCGCCCAGCCCAATGCAACCACATTCTTAAATATATGTGAAATTTCACAAGAAGATTACAAATTTATGTTGATGCACAAAATGCCAAGAAAGTCAAAGCATACTTGAAGAGGAAGAACAAGATTGAAAACTATTTTCTAATAGTTATCAAGACTCATAAAAGTACACAAGTTACACTCTAGACAATCCTAAGGAATAAAAAAAAAAAGGACCAAAGTTAAAAGAGTATAGTACTGACACAGGATAGATAAATTGAACAACAGAACAAAATAGTGAGACCAGCAGACTAACACACAAATATATATAACACAGGAGGCAAAATAGATCTGCGATAAAATCATGAAATTTTAATGAATAGTGTGGGTCAATTAACTGCTTGAAAAGATAAAACTGGATCTTACTTCACACAATTAGCAAAAATAAATTGCATTTAATTTTAAAACTTCAATGTGAAAGTCAAATTTATAAAACATTTAGAGGATAATATAGAAAAAATTTTATAAACTCGAGTTATAAAAAATTCTTAAGACAGAAAAATACTAATCAAAAGGCAAACCTGATAAATGCAACTACATAAAAATAAAGACTTCTGTTTCTCATAAATTATAAAAATATTGACAAGAAATGCCACAAAATTCAGAAAGATATTTGTTATCTAAAGCAATTTTAAAAGGACTACTGTCAAGAATACATAAATAAATCAGAGGACAAAGAAATTCAAATGATTAATAAGCGTGCATGGATGCCCAGCCTCATTAGTTTCTGGTTAATTCCAGTTTAAACTACAATGAGACATCATATGCACATTACATTGGTAAAAATATATTCTAGGGAACTCAGACGTTGGCAATGTATTAACAATTCTCATGTAAGCATAAAATGATATAAGCATAAATTGGTACAACCATTTTTTAAAATAGCTTGAAATTACCTTGTACAGTTAAATGCCTTTACAAAGTAAGTGCCTTATAATTGAATAATTTCATTCCTAGATACAGATATCAGAAAAATTTTTGAAAATGTGCACCAGGAGACACGTCCAAGCTTCCACACAGATGGGTTTGGCAACTTATGATTGGTATGTGACCTTGCCTTACCCATCATTAAATATTTTTGATATCATCCTTGCAATCATATTTATATTGGTGTCATTCTTTATAGCCACAAACTCAAAACAACCCAAACATCAACAATAAAATAGGTAAATATTTTACAGTATATTAATGCAACAGAATAACATGAAACAACAAAAATGAACAAACAAGAGCTATACACGTCAATATGAATAAGTTTTATATATATGTGGACAAAAAATATAGTGTGATTCTAATAACTATGAAAATTCAGGGCATGATTATCACAAAAGAAAGGATAGGTTACCTCACAGGGGAATAAGTAGACGTAATTGGCTAAGGGAAGAGAAGGAGGGAAGAATGAAGACTTAAATACTTAAATTCAATGCCTAAGTAAATCCTCTTCCTTCTCCTCTCCCACTCCAAATACATTTGTCATTATCTTCATGACATGATAGGAATTTACAACTGGGAGCAAGGAACCCATTGAAGTTCTCTCTCTCCAGCAAGAGACTAGGAGATAGGGACACTATCTTCCTTGATGACTGCATTTTAAAGGGACGGCTGCATCATCCTTGAGAAAGACCATCCTGGTCTATAAAACTGTCTTAAGGCAGGCTTTGAGTCTAGAAGCCTATCTATATTTTCTGCAAAAGTATTCCTGATTTTAAAAAGGAGGAGGAGGAGGAAAAGTGGAGGAGGAGAGAGAAGGAAGAGGAGGAGGAGGAGGAAGAAGAAGGAGAAGGAGGAAAGAAGAAAGAAGAAGAAGAAGCCTGTCACTGTCATGAGTGTGGTCAAGCTGAGGGAAATGTTAAGACCAAGTTGGTCACATTCTTAACTTCCCAACCACTTGCCACCTCCAACACACACACACACACACACACACCCCTGAAGTGGAAATAACCTTGAAAGTGAGTTGTCACTAACCTGACCAAAAGCATATTGAAATTGTAAATTTACAATGAATTGAAATCAATTGTAAATTTACAATGAATTGAAATACAAGATGAAAATAAGGTCGGTAAAATCTGTAACCTCTTCTCCAGAAGGTAAACAATCAAAAAGATTGGCCAGTGGTGGAATAGGTTAATTAACACCTTCCAAAAGATGTTCACTCTCAAATCTGTGAACAAATAGCTGAGACAATTTACTAATTTGAGAATTTTGTAATTTTTTTTATTTTCATAGATTTAGAGGGTCCAAATGCAGTTTTGCTACATGGATTAATTTGGGAATTTTTAACCTGCTATCACTTGTCACACTTTTTAAAATTACAACTACTATCTCAATTCCATTTTCACTTTTGTTTTGAAAGAACAAAACACAAGATTTATTCAAGGCCACCTCATTAAGATAACTTAAATGAATAGATCAGTTATTTCAAGGTATAGGGATTTATGTGGGTAGCCACAGTATTTTCAAGTAAGGTTATTCTATGTACAAGAGACTATATGACTTAGTTTTTAAAAATACAGAATATTTAGTCAGGAGAATTGGGCTCTAAACCATAATTTTGACACTAATTAGTGCTACAACACTGGGCGGGTATCCTTAAGGCCTCAGGTTTCCCAAGTTAAAGAGCTGGACTACATCATCCACAGTGTTCCCCACAGATCTAACAAAACTGACAACACTATTGCATTCTTTAAATAAAATCTTTCTGTTTTCTAGCTTGTTGCCCATTTATACATAATTTCTCAAAAAATCACTATAATTAGCCAATATTTAAAACTAAATTTTAATACTCAATCTGAGTCAATATCTGACTCTAAATACAAGTAACCAATAAAATAAGCTCACTTTCTGGGCAATGTATTGTGCTTCTGCTAGAACCCTGTCCAGTTCTATAATTTCTGGTATTTCCAATTTTTTTCTGAACCTCATAATTTGTTCATATAATTGTCATAATTCTTAGTTTTTAGATTTTTAAGCACAATAGAAAGGTATGGAGGACAATTACGAGGCAAACCAATAAGCATAAGCATAATCTAATCTTTGATCATGATCAAGAAATACCAGTATTATGACTGGGCCATTTCATGTATGTGCCCATTATCCTACTTCTGGAGAGGTCATTGACAAAGGTGGCTAACTTCATCTAACCAAATCATTTTGACTACTTCATTGTTCACTATATCTTCTTTCATATATGCTTTCTTAGGTATTAACTTAAGATGCAAAAATCTTCACACTCTGTACCCGTTCCCATGTGTCCGCCCATACTCTATCATAGACCTTCTTGTCTCTGATCCTCCAGTCTTTTCCCCCCAGGCCCCTCACCAGCCATCAAGGCCATTAGTAAATGTCCAGAAATCTGTATATATTGTCCCCTCAGGCCATTTCTCCTTCCTCAGACTGGATGACCAGGTTCTTCATTTTCACCTCCACGTGTTGGGAAGATGTTTTCTCTCTACTGATTATCAAGTAATGCTACAGTCCTCTGTCATCCATTTTCAATTTGAGCTCAAATACTGAGACTGCCTGTCTATAAATCAAGCATGGGTATTTTTCTTTTTCTTCAGCTGGTCTTAGAAAATGCACCAAGTAAAGAGCACTGGTACAACCATCCTGAGTGACATGTGGGTCTAGGCCACCTGCTCATACAGCCTGCCTGTGCCCTTGTTGTTGCTTAAACTTGATCTCCAATGTAGTACTTTTAACTTGTGATGGACTGCTGCTGAGCCTGCTGACTTTATGACACGTAGATCTAAGAGAGCCAGCTCATTATGGGCAGTTCCGGGAACATGCTTACTTGGTGCCCCATGGTCAAGTGTTTCATCTGTACAAGGGCCAACTGTCATGCCAAAAGGTGATTCTAAAATGGAGTATAATTCCCCACTGCAGATGTTATGGCCTTGCTTCAGAATCCCAGTAGGATACACTAAGATTCTCACACTGGGGTTTACCATAAACTTACATTCCATCTTCTCCCACTACTGACGTTTACAACAATTTAGAGCCGGAGAGATTACATGATCCAAGTGGTAGGGCTGCTTGACCCACATCCTCAACCAGCTGCAGAGCCCTTTTCTATTCTAGAACTCATTTAAAGCTATCATCCTTTCATATCACTGGACTTAAGGGCTAGACAATATTGTTAAGTTCAAAATGTGTTCCAGCCACGATCCAAAAAGGTCTTTCAGGTGTGGTGCTTCCTTTTCTGTGATAAGGGCAAGAAGATACATAAATTTGACCTTTACTTTGCAGGGGATACCTCAAATGCCCCTGATCACTGGACCCCAAAAAACCTGACTGAAATTGCAGTTTTCAGAAATGTGTCTTTGCAAGGCTTCCAAAATACTAGCCACTGTTTCTTGAACTGTCTAAATCAGCATAGTGTCATCAATAAAATAAATAAATAAATCACAATAAATCAACAAATCAATGTAATAGCCTATGAAGTGTCCAGATGGTTGAGATCCATTTTAAATATATTATGACAAAGGGTTGAAAGAGTTAATATAGTCCTAGGGTAAAACTGTAAGTCAATATTGCTGTCCATTCCACATATATGAAAATTTCCGTGATTTTTTCTGATCAGAATTTTTTTAAATTATGCATTTGCAAAATCCACATCTGCATACTACATTACCTGAAGCCTTAATATCGGCTCTAGCAATAATACCACCCATGGTATAGTAGCTACAACAAGAACTATTACTTGGCTGAGCTTACAGTATCTATAGTCTATATTTATTCTCCAGGATCCATTTATTTCACCCATGGGGAAGAATGGTAAGTTAAGCAGAGATATGCTAGGGCCATACATCCCTGCAACCTTTAGCTCTTGAATGGCATGTTTATTCTACCTTTCCTCCCTGTCCCCCAGAGATACACTGATTTACTATCTTGGTACAGGTAGGAGGGAAGAATAATTTCAGAGGTTTCCACTTGGTCTTTCCAAGAAGTCCAAAGACCAAACATGGGGAATATGCCAAATGCCAGGTAAAATACCAATTGCATATTGAAGACCAGGAAATGACCACCAGATATGTCTGTGAACACAGTGAATCCACTCTAGGCCAGGCTTTAGCAGACTCCACTTATTACGTGGCTCCTGTAAATCTCCACCCTAACTAGAGCGCCATGATGATTCACTGAGTCACCAGGTATCAACGTCAACTCAGAAATCTGTTCAACATTCCTCTGAGTACTTCTTTTTTCCTAGTAGATGGTCACATGAGTAAATAACTAGAAGTCCCTTTGAGAAAAGACTTGGGGAATCATTACAGTATATACATGCTTTGTATTGGAGACTTGTTCCTTTATGGGCACATGGTCATCCCTTTAGTAAATGAATCCTGAAACTCAAAATTAATTTAGGCGTGAGAACTAGGCAAAGCATTGTAACTTTATTTGTGGCAACTGGCCTCAGCCTCCCGCTTCTTCATTCTAGCTTATTTCTGATTGCAGATGTCAAGCAGCTCACTCATTAGCTACCCATCTATTTTGCCCCTAGTGATGCCATATTGTATTAACAACCTCCATAACTCCCTGAAGGTCAAGCCCCCTTGACTACTCCAATCTTGTGTGTCCCCTGCTTTTGTCTGTTAAGCCCTGCCACTTAGCCTCAATTATTCAGGGTCTCATCATGCTCATGAATACTAATCAGACCTGTTCTGGGAGCCCCTCTCCATCCAACTGCCCGTCATTCTGAGATGAGCTGCCACTGAACTTATGGATGCTGCTGCCCTCACCAATTGATTCCTGTTGGCTGAAGGACTCCCTGTGACCTCCCATGAAGCATAACATTTAATGGGGCTTCTGGCCCTACATGCCATGCATTCCATCAGGCCCACATTCCTGAGCCTTTTGCTTCTGCCAGGCAACCCAGGCATTTCCACTTTGCTCGGCCAGGGCCATCACTTATTCCTGGCTTTTAAGAGCCACTCTTAGCAGAAAGTTTGTTCTGTATTCTGGGGTCCTTACCAGGGTATAAAATAAAATGTCTCAAAAAAAGTGCTGCCAAGTCCATTGTTCTTATTCAGTCTTTCACTCTGGCTTCCGTGATCAAGCACCCTCAAACCTAACCCCAGGGGTGATCCCTTGGCTACTGTTTGTACATTGTAGCATATACCTGAAACTCCTTCAGTTTATAAACTCATTTCTCCCTTATCAGCCCAGCATGTCTCCAGTTAGATTGTGCTAGAATTCAGTCACAGTTTTCAGCTTTATAATCAGGATAGGCAGGAGGGGCAACTCTTGAGAAGGTCACCTGTCGTCTTGCAAAGGAGAGGCTGCTCTGTAGCTTTTTCCTGTGGGGGAGCAGTACTAGCTCTTACTAGGGAGGGACAGCCTTCTCCCTTTTGCAAATTCTGAGGGTCAGAGGGGTCTGAAAAGCCACAATTCTCAGGGATATGGTCAAAGTAAAAATTGCACTGGAAGGCAAAGAAGACATTATTCAAAGCTGCTAAAACAGAAGAGAGAGGTCGTCTGAAGTCAACTCTATTGAAACAAAGAGAAGGAGGAATTTTCAGAACTGGGATGATCTACTGGAAAAGTGCTGGAGGACATGGGGTGGGGGTTGGGCGGTTGATCAGTGGGATGTGCTAATCCTGAGTTTGCAAATGTTTTTTCTCAATTATTAGGCCATCCATGTTTGCTAATTGGTGCCCATAAAAGTTAGGCTCCCATTCGCACACAGAAACTGAAAGATAGGTGCACTATCTTTCCTCGAAATTACATGTCAAAAGAGTGGCTTCTAAGTCCTCAAGAAAGACTTTCCTGGATTATGAGAGGACCTCAGGGGTTTTAAAGCCATCCCGGTCAGCGTTGACTCAGGTGTTCCAATTCTATCTGGTAGGGTTCCAGAGATCCTAACCACAGCCCTAACCTTAAGGGAAACCTGTACTGTCTTTGCTGAACGTTAAAATGTCTCTGGAGCCTCTGTAGTTCTCACTATGAAACCCCGGGTCTGCTTCTCAGCAACTATCAGCTCTTCCATTGCAGGGAGTAAGGGCTTCTTCC
Organism: Homo sapiens; assembly: GCF_000001405.40. Taxonomy (NCBI): domain Eukaryota; kingdom Metazoa; phylum Chordata; class Mammalia; order Primates; family Hominidae; genus Homo; species Homo sapiens. The sequence goes on along the minus strand of NC_000007.14, from coordinate 82,744,139 downwards.
TAAACTACCACAAAGGGCCTCTGGCTATCACAGCTAACTTTACGAATTTGTCAACTTCCTTATCATTTATCGTTATACCTCTATAAAGCAACACTTCAACTTAGTAGTAAATAGTCAGTTCTGCTGTCCTTACAGGCATTGTGCACTCTGTGTCTTTCAAATGCCTTGATCCTCACACCAAGGACATTCCTCTCCCTGGGGACTTCTCCTAAGTCATCACTCCTGAAATCAGCAGCAATTGGGCTGCCACCTTATTCAGAAATTATCTATGCTTTGCGTTTCAGATGATGTATTTCCTTTTCAAGTGTTAAATATTCTTTATTTGATATTACACACACACCACACTAAAATGCCTTTCAATAAGTACGAGAAACTTTTTTTTTTTTTCCAGACAGAGTCTTGTTCTGTTGCCCAGGCTGGAGGTCAGTGGTGTGCGATCTCGGCTCACTGCAACCTCCACCTCCTGGGTTCAAGCGATTCTCCTGCCTCAGCCTGTTGAGTAGCTGGGATTACAGGCATGTGCTAACACACTTGGCTAATTTTTGTGTTTTTAGTAGAGATGAGGTTTCACCATATTGGCCAGGTTGATCTTGAACTCCTGACCTCAAATGATCCACCCACTTTGGACTCCCAAACTGCTAGGACTACAGGCATGAGCCACCACACCTGGCCAAGGAACCATTTTAGATACAGGAAATTCTAATTAGGTTGGTATAGTTAAAACCAAAAAGATAAAGTAGACTTTGCCACCTTATCTTCAGCCCAGCCTTTAGGAGGCAAATAACACAAAACACAAATGAGTCTTGCTTGGTTCTGAGAAAAAGGGGGGATTTCCCCAGTATTTAAATATAGTCATATAACAAGTATATACATCTGAATATAAAACCAATCTCTAATAGATTTTAAGATGGCATGCACCGTCTTTGTGGAAAGTTGAACATTATTAACAAAGTCCAGTCATATCTTCAGAAGACGAAAACAGCGATAGCATTTACTGAATCAGAATTACTATTAACGTTCAAAAAACCAAACATATTAATTTAACCACAAGCCAGTCTTAGTTAAGTCAGGACTGCCCAAGAAAAATATTCTGTCAGTCATTCATGATCAGAATTCTGATGTATGAGATCTATTAAATCATGGCACACATAAAAAAAGTCACAAGACATACCACAGAAATACAAACTACCATCAGAGAATACTATAAACACCTCCAAGGAAATAAACTAGAAAATCTAGAAGAAATGGATAAATTCCTGGACACATACACCCTCCCAAGACTAAACCAGGAAGAACTTCTGAACAAAAATCTTCTTGCCCTTCTCATCATCGCCCATATTTAATTCTCTCTCATCGCTGGTGATATGAAGATTTCTGTTCAAAAGCCAGACATCTTGCTAAGTCCAGTATGGTACTTTATTTGCCAACTGGAGAGGGAATGATCCAGTCCCCACAACCCCCTTCTTGTCACCTGTTTTCTCAGACCACTCTCTGTGTCAGTTTGGGTCCTCTGAGTAGACACCAGGACAGGATTGGATGTCCAAGGGATTTGCGGGTGTATTGCCTTTGAAGGAAGAGCCTTCAGACCGAGATGGAAACATCATGACTGTGAAGAAAGAATGAAAAGAAAAGGAAGGACTGGGAAGGAAGGACTCCTTCAGACTGCAGAACTGTTCTGAAAAACTCTTGGGCACACTAAGGTGGTGGAGGGCGCTTCAAAGAAAATGCGTTCATTAGAGGAGGCGTCACTTTGAGCAGGCATGGACTGGTTCTACCCTGCTGTGCTTGACCATTGTCTGGGAGCAGCTTATAGGATGTGTGGCCTCAGTGCTCAGGAGGGGAGCAGCTAGAAATTGTTGATCAACTACCCTCCCACAGGAGGTTTTTATGAAGATCTGAGCAGGACATTTCCACAGCCACCACAGCATGTCATTTACAAGAACTCTTTATAAAATATGAAAAAGTAGGATAGAGAAATCTAATGGCAATTAAAACTTAAGGCCATAGGGAAAAATGGGATTCAGTTTGGAATTAGAAATCAGTGCACCTCATATTCCATTCTATCTTGGAGAGCAATAACCATTATTTTCTTCCTAGTATGTTTTAAGTATAATTTTGGTTTCCTCAAATAGTCTATTTCTTATACCAAGTATGATATTGTATATGTGAAGTTTGCCCTTTTAAAAAATTTATACAAAGAGAATGCTAAAAATGCTGAGATAACTAGAATAACATTGGCCCAGTGCTTTCTTAGTTGATGGGTAAACAAGAAAAAAAAGAACTTTTTCACTAAATCATTTTGGATAGCTTGATGTTCTTTTAATGTGTAAGAAAAAAATGGTTTAGCCTGGTGTAAACATGCCTTTGATTTCTGAATTTTAATGTTGGCTTTTAATGATGGTGCAGCATACTCTTAGCAGTGCTTGAAATGCCTCTTTAGTACATACTTCAAAGGAATGCTCAGAGCTGCTGCCTCTGCAATTGTTTAGTACTCTCATAAAGTGGAATTTGAAAGTGTGTCTTCTCCCAGGGAAGAAAAAAATCCCAGGAACTAGATACATTGATAGATGTAATTGAGATTGAAATTATTCTGTTTTCATTGAGGTCTAGGGTCTCAGTTCAAACATATCTAGCCTATTGCCATTCTATTGGGTACTTTTTATGCTCTCTTCTGTTCTTTTTTTTTTTCTATTTGTTAGAGTTGTCCTTCATCATCATCATCGCTACCATCAATAACATTATCAAAAATTACCATTAAAAGTATCACTTTGCCTTTAATATGTTAAGCATTACTGCTCAATGTGAGCTGAATGTTTTTGGTTTCCTTCCTATGCACAGTAGGAGAGAGTCAGGGCTGAAGGCCAAATACTTATAGGTTAAAACTAACAACTCAAACCCATAGTCCTCAGAAACATCAAGACCAAATGTTGGGGTCTTGAGTCAGGAGATGGGAGAGAGGAAGCGCTTATGGGAAATGTTTTATTCTAGTCATCGTGAAGTTCAACCTATCTTGGACATGAAGACCCCTGACATGCACTCACAGTAGAATATTTTTATGAAAGCTGTTCTGAGATCAGAAGGGGCCAAGCGGTCTTGATGATGGGGGTTAATTCCTAAACATCTCAATCAGTTTCCCTATAGTCCCTGAATATTTTTGACATCTGGATGTTTTAAGTGCAAAATATGTATTTTAAGACACTTACCTAAGGAGCAAAGTTCATTATTATTCAATGGTGTTTTATTTACTGATGTTTAGAATTCATTATTAAAAACTCTTATCAAGCTATAGATACTTGCTCACTACAGTCACTTTTCTTCCCTAAGATATGCTGTAAACTTGGCATTTTTAAAAAATGTTTATTTTTCTTCCCTCAGCTTCTGGACTCAATATCAATAAGGCAGCTAATGTTGATAAAAGAAGACACATTCCATGCATTTTAAAGAAAAACGCAATTTATTTTTAAAACCCCATTCCAGTGAATATTTTAAAATATTTTATACAATAATTAATATCTCTCCAAAAATACAGCTTACTGCTTCTCATTGTTCTTTCATATTAGCTTGAATTACTGATTACCTGAATATAGCACGCTGCTAAAGGAAAAGGTTGAAATAGTCTGGAAATTCCAGATCCATCTTTGCTTTTCTAGACATATTCTGCTAGAGTCCCCTGCTCCAGCATTTGTGAATCACGCCCTCTGCTGGAGCCCCATGAGTTCAGTTGAATTGAGTTCAGTTTAATACTGAATGAGTATGCCAAGTGCACTAGAAAAACTCTTTAATCAATGATGACCCAGTTAACAGAGAAGATGCACAAAATCTGTGCCTAGCAGTCCCTCAGAAATGAAAGCCTTTCTGCTGTGATCTATTTATGTTTTATTTCTTAAATATCTAATGAGGCTAAGTCAGATTTTTCTGACAGCTTTGGATCCTCAGCTTTCTGCATTCATCATTTCCGGTCTGTAACAGCAAAATCTATATTTAAAGTATTTTATTCTTTTCTTTTCTTCAACCTATACAGATATATAGGTAGAAGATCTATATCCAATACAAATATACCCTTCTTATCTTTTCCCTCAAAATATTTTGCAGAGACCTTTGTCCTCCACAAAAGGTGACTTTATGCAGAGTGTAGTAGTGTAGTGGGATGGAAGAGAAGGTTCCCCTGTTTAAAAAAATATATTTGATATCAACCCAAATCAATGCTTTCTACCATTCAACACCCCCAATATCTCACTCAGGCTGTTCTAAAAGGATCTACAAAGTAGTTCCTGTAGGAAACAGAAACTGGTCTGTTTGCAGTTTTTAAAAAATATCCTGATACTATTATTCCTCTGCATCTTATGTCAAAAAAAGCACACAATTTCTATCAACATAAAGGATCATGTTTTAGAAAATCTGGATATACTAAGATCCATTTTTTTCCTTTCAAATCTGTATTAGTCTGGGTTCTCTAGAGAAACAGAAGCCATAGGAGATAGGTAGGTGATTGATTGATAGACAGATAAATAGATAGATAGGTAGATGGATAGATACACAGACATCCAGATAGATAAATTTGCCATAGGAGTTGGCTCACATAATTACGGAGGCTGAGAAGTCCAAAATTTGCAGTCAGCAAGCTAGAGACTCTGGAGAGCCGATGGTATAGTTCCAGGTCAAGTTTGAAGGCCTGAAAACCAGGTGAGCAGATGATGTAAGTTCCTGTCTGATTTTGAAGGCCTGAGGACCAAGACAGCTGATGCATAAGTTTCCGTGTGAGTTCGAAAACAGAAATAGACCAATGTCCCCATTCAAAGACAGAGAGAAAGAATTCTTTCTTACTCAGCCTTTTATTCTACTCAGGTCTTTCAGCAGATTTGGATGAGGCCCAACCACATTGGGAAGGGCAATCTGCTTTACTCAGTTTACTAGTTCAAATGTTAATTTCATCCAGAAACACCCTCACAGACACACCCAGAAATTATGATTTTTCTGGGTACCCCTTGGCCCAGTCAAGTTGACACAAAAGTTTAACCATCACAAATCTACTCCTCGCCAGTTTGGCACTCATATGCATCTTCTTAAACATATTTTATCTCCAAATAAAGAAAATAACATCTAACGTGATAAAACTACCCTGCACAGAACTGAAAATGCACCAACCCCTTCCCCAGAAGAGGAGGCAAAGTCCTTAAGGGGTGTTTACTCTTATCCTTGATATCCTATAACTTAAGTACTGAGATGTAAAATTAACAATACTTAAATACTATGATATAGCTGGGCATGGTGGCTCCCACCTGTAATCCCAGCACTTGGGAGGCTGAGGCAGGCAGATCACTTGAGGTCAGGAGTTTGAGATCAGCGTGGCCAACATGGTGAAACCCCATCGCTAGTAAAAATACAAAATTAGCCGGGCATGGTGACACATGCCTGTAATTCCAGCTATTCAGGAGGTTGAGGCAGGAGAATCACTTGAACCCAGGAGACAGAGGTTTCAGTGAGCTGAGATGGCACCATTGCACTCCAGCCTGGGCAACAAGAGTGAAACTCTGTCTCAAAATAAATAAATAAATAAATAAACAAATTATATGATATAAAGTCAATACATGTTATGTTACATGAAAAGGGAACAGGAAAGGAAAGAAAACAAAGGGACGTATACAGCCTGCTGGCAGCAGATCTTAGACGTCTCAGCTTCCATAATTGTATGAGTCAATTTCTTATGGTAAATCTATGTATCTATCTATCTATCTATCTATCTATCTATCTATCATCTATCATTTATCTATCTATGCACACACACACACACACATATTCAGAACAAGCTAAGGAGGAAATACTCCTAATTTCCATAACTGGTCACATGGTCCGAGCTGCTATTTATAACTATCTTCTCCCACTACTCATTCTGTATTTCCTTGGCCTTCAGCAAACACCTCAGCTGCGTGTGGTCCTTTATCTGGTAGATGACCCAAACCTGTATTCCTGAATGACTTAGGCTGTTAGCAGTCCTGTCTAGATTGGGTTGTTGTCATTTTCCATTGATCTTAATCAACCTTAGGGATCTCCTGTGTTCCAGGAATCCTCTTCCTTACCTCCATTGTGGAGTAGCAGTTCAATTTCCCACTGGTAGTCAGGATCACTCACCCCTGCCAGCACAGTAAATCCCTTATTTTCCTGTTGATTCAGAGGCATGAGGAGTCCAAAGTTGCTGGATAGCAGTCTTAACTTCCAGCTCAATGGAATCATGTTGTGTCTCCTAATGGAAGCATCCCTCCCTTTGGAACTAAGACCTCTAGGTCAGCAAAGCATAAGGTGGTAGGAACAGGAAGCAAAAATTTTGCTAATGGGTCACTAGGAGTAATACTGAGTGGTTCCACTCTGATTTCCATCCTTCATTCCTGACCCATAAATCCTGGCTATAGGAGAAGCAGCACAATATGCTGGAAGATAATTCAGACATATACAGTTTTATGGAGAACTTCACCTCAGCCCTGCAAGGTATTGTTACATAGCTGGTGCTGTAGCTGAGTCTTCAAAAGGCCATTCCACCATTCTATCAAACCAGCTGCATCAGAAGCAATCCTGTGTCTAATACCATGATGCTGGATAAGGCATTCTAGAAATCTATGGATGGTAGTTTTTGCAGACGCATTGTATGCAGAGAAGGCAAATTCATATCTACACTGTCTATTTCAGTAAGAACAAAATGATATTCCCTCCATGGCAGAAGTGGTCCAATATAATCAACCTAGCACCAGGTAGCTGGCTGATCACCAGCAGTGAATGGTGGACTCTGTTGGTCTCTGCTGCTAACAGATTAGGCACTCAGCAATGGCCACAATCAGGTCAGCCTTGGTGAATGAAAGTCCATGTTACTAAGCTTATTCATAATCTCCATCCCTGCCACCATGGCAACTTTGTTCATAAGCCCATTGAGTAGTGTTGCGGGGAAGAGCTAACTGGTATCCACAGAAGAGGACATCTCATTTACTTGATTATTAAAACTCTTCTTTGCTGATGTCACCCTTTGGTGAGCATTCACATGTGACATAAATACTTTCACATTTTGATGTCTCTCGGCAAGATTTTCTTGTCACCTATTTTCTAAACATGTTCCCTCCAGGTCCCTGACCATTCAGCTAACCCATTTACCATAGTCCATGAGTTGGTACATAATCCCATTGCTGGCTATTTCTCCTTCCAAGCAGAGTAAACAACCAGGTGCACTTTTCAAAGTTTTTCCCACTGAGAGGATTTCTCTTCACGACTGTCCTTCAGGGATGTCCCAGAAAGGGGCTGTAGTGCTGCCGCTGTCCACTTTCAAGTGCTGCCAGCATATCATGCAGAACTATCTGTAAAACAGACCTGAATGTCCCATTCCTCTGTTAGCTGATCCTAGGGAATTCCCTATGAGGCCATAGGTGCAGGCTGGGAAAGAGAAGCCAATGTAGCAGAAGTAGAGACCACGGACAATTGAGTCACTTACTCATGTAACTTACTTGTGATTTCAGGGCCTGCTCAGGCCTATCAAAATCTATATCACTTCCATTTCATGATGAAGTGATGCTGTGCACACCCAATTTTATCACTTGGCAGATCAGATAACCCCCAGTTTATGATGAGCAGCTCAGGTCCCGTGGTAACTTGGTGGCCCATGGTTTAGCATTCTGTCTCTAAGGCCCAATAACAGGCCAAGAGCATTTCTAAAAACAAAAGAGAGAGAGAGTAATTTTCTGTGGAGGATGGCAAGACTTTTTCCAAAATCCTAAGGGTCTGTATTGAAATTCACATGTATCATGTCTGTCTGCCGCTGACACTTCAAGAACTTTAATCTGCTGTATCATATGGCTCAAGCAGCAGAGCAGCTTGTACAGTAATAGCCTGGACCTACTGCAGAACTCCCTCTTGCTCTGGGCCCCACTCAAAATTAGCAGCTTTTACAGTCACCTGATATGGGTTGGAATGACGCACCCAAATGAGTAGTATGTTAACTCCAAAATCTAAAGAGGCCCACTAGGCATTGTCTCTTTTTCTCGTTGTGGAAGCAGCCACATGCAACAACATATCCTTCACCTTAAAGGAGTTATCCTGTCATGCCCCATATCACTGGGCCCCTTAAATGTTCACTGATGCAGAAAGCCCCTGAAATTTTGTTGGAATCATTTCCCATCCTCTGATACTCAAATGTCTTCCCATTCTCTGATACACAGAGAAGACTAGAGTAGTTGCAACTTCTTACTCACCAGGTCCAATCAACATAATGTCATCAATGTAATGGACCAGTGTAATATCTTGTGAAAGGGAAAGGCAATTCAGATCCCTGCAAACTAAATTATGAAATAAGCCTGAAGAGTTGCTATACTCCTGATATAGGAGAGTGAAAGGGTATCGACTTGCCAGCGAAAAGCAAATTGCTTCTGGTGGTCTTTATTTACAGGTATGAAGAAAAAAGTACTTGTCAGATCATTAGCTGCATACTAGGTACCAGGGGATGTGTTGATTTGCTCAAGCAATGAAACCACATCTGATACAGCAGCTACAATTGGAGCTACTGCTTTGTTAAGCTCGTGATAATTCACTCTAATTTTCCAAGATTCATCTGTCTGCTACACAGGATAAACAGGTGAGTTGAATGAGAATGTGATAGAAGTCACCACGCCTGCACCTTTCAGGTCCTTGGTGGTAGCAATAATATCTTCAAGCTTTCCAGGGATGGAATACTGTTTATTGTTTACTATTTTCCTAGGTAAACACAGTTCTAGTGGCTTCCACTTGGCCTTCCCCAACATAATAACCCCTCACTCCACAGTCAGGGAACTAATGTGAGCTTTCTGCCAGCTGCGGAGAATATATATGTCAATTATGCATTCTGGAGTTTGGGAAATAACCACAGGATGGGTTGAGAGACCCACTGGGCCCAGTGTAAGATGGATCTGCTAAAACTTCTATGATCACCTGACCTCCATCAGGCGATACTCTAACAGGGGGACCACTGTGATATTTTGGATTTTCTAGAACTATTGTCATTTCAGAGCCAGTGTTCAGTAATCCCTGAGAGGTCTGATTACTTCCTTTTTCTCCATGCACTATTACCTTGTTAAAAGGCCATAGGTCCCTTTGGAAAAGGCTGCAAGAAAGATTAACAGTAAACATTTTTGGTAGTGTACAAGAAGCGTTCCTCAAGGGGATCCAATCTCCCTTTCATTCAGAGGGTTCTGGGTCTGCAAATAGCTCATCTGGGAATTGATTGAGGGACCATAACTCTGCTTATGTAATCCAGGTTAGATTTTTGTCCATTTGACCTAAAAATATTCTGCTTATACAGGTCATGTAAGAATTAGTAGGCTTCCTATCTATTTCACTTCTAGGAACACCAGGATTAACTAGCAAACACCTTAGGTCTGTGTGAGTCACACTGTTCTGATTGCTGCTTTGACTCTGCTGTCCATTACAATAATTATATGCATTTTGCTTTTGGTGGTTGAGTGCCACCACTTGGCCCCTGCCACCTTGGGATTGAATTACTCCCATTGCAATTACTCCTGTTGCATTGATCCAATATAGTGACCACAGTCCTCACTATAAAGCTTGGCCTACAGGTAAGAGTGATCACAGAACTCTTTAAAGTGCTTCCCCCTCCCCCACCTCACAGATTTATTTCTCATAGTAGTGGTGAAAAGCATGTCCTCTAGACACTCCCAGTGTGGCTATAAGTAGGTCTTAAAACACAAATCCTATCTAACATTCTAGTCTTCCTAAGCTTTGAATCCTTTCCTGTACATTAAATCAAGGCAGACTCAGCACTTCTAATTCACTCACGGTAGGCCACCTTTTGGTCCATGTTTCAGTTCACCAACCCAAGAGTTAGGAGTCCCTCCAAACTTCCTGAGCTGCAACCTTAAAGGCAGAATCTCCGCTTAGTCAGCCCATATCAATAAATTTGGAGCTGGGCATTTTGGCACACACCTGTAGTTCTAGCTATGTGCCAGGCTGAGGCAGGAGAATCTCTTGAACTCAGAAGTTCAAATCTAGCCTGGGCAACATAGTGAAACCCTATCTCAAAAATAAATAAATAAATACATAAATAAATAAGTTTGGCCTGGTTCCACTTTATTTTCCTTCTATCATTATCCTATACCCTCAATATCCATTTCCATATTTTTTCCCCAGATTTCTGCCTGTGTAAATTGGAAAATTCAACTAGTTCTTTTGGAGTGCAGCACACTTTCTCATGAGTCACACTTTGTACCTCACCTTTAGGGGCCTGCTGGTACTTTAGTTTAGTGAAAGGTCTAAAAGCGTAAAAGGGTCATGGGGCGGGCCCTAAGGAGAATCATTGCTGCATGGCCACTGTCTCAAGGGAGGCCATTCTGTAATAAATTTCTCAGCCAATGCAGGCTTAATGCTCTCAACCAGGGATGGAGAGGCCACTGTCACTGAGTGTGCAGAAATTGCTACCACTGGGGGGTGGAAAAGCTGCTTATATGATGGTGGGAAGGCCACGTCCACTGGCAAAGAGGACTCATTAGAATTTAAATATTTGGTGGAAGGGTTGTGTCTGGGAAATCACTTCCCTGAATTCCTTAGAAGTTTGTCCAACATTAGGTCTGTTTTCAACTGGCTTATGGAAACAACAGACCAAATAACTGTCTCCTGGGGACATCTGAATCAACATGACCCAACAGTGTCCATTATGCCATTCCTATTACATTTGGTAAGAACCCTACTGCTGCGTATTTTGTCTCCTCAAGCTTAGTGTGTTTATGTTTTGCAGTGGAAGAACAAGATGACTATCTCCGATTTTATCCCTATAACTAGAAAGTTAGTCCCTAATCAAACTAATAACACAAGTTTTCTTTGATTCTTTAGACTGAATCTGACCTTTTAGTTTTTCCTACCATTCAATATTTTTCCTACATAGTATTTATTACAGTTGATCATTCTATAGTAATATAATTATTAATGTCTCTCACCCAATCAGCCTGTAAACCCTGTGAGGGCAGGATCAGGGCTCTTGCTCAACACGTATCTTCAACATCTATTACAGTACCAGGTGTGTATCTCAAAGTATAAGACATAAAAAATGAAGTAGCATAGACTTCATTCAAATATTACTGGCTTAGTCAAATTTTACTGAAAGTCAAATCCTTTTTACTCCTCTCTCCTTTCCTAAAGTAGAAAGGAAAGGAGGCCTATGGCCAAGGCCACTGTAGCTGGGAATGTGCTGGTCACACCTGAAACCAGTATGACACTAGATCTTGCCGAAGGCCCACGACAACTGCTGCCTGGCTGCTGTTGATGTTTATTCAAGGCCCAGGGGCTCTTTAATCAGCATATGATGGATCCTGACAGGACTGGGTTCTTTCCTTCAGGGCAGTGGGTTCTCTCCTGACCCAGGGTAAGTCTAGAAATTACATCCAGGAGCAACGTCCTGGAATGGGGGCCTGCTTGGTGCTTTATTTTACTTTGGCTGAACTGGTATCCAAGTTGCAAGACAAAGTCCTCTTTACTGTTTCCTCAAGGAGAATCACTTGAGGCCAGGAGTTCAAAACCAGTCTGGGCAACATAGTGAGACCCAACTCTACAAATTTTATTTAAAAATTAGCCAGGCATGGTGGCACATGCCTGTAGTCCCAGCTAATTGGGAGGCTGAGGCGCAAATCTGAAGTTAGCATAATATGATTGCACCATTGCACTCCAGTGTGGCAACAGAGTGAGACCCCGTCTCTAAAATAACTAAATATATAAGCCCTTTACTGTAGATGGCAGAAGATATGATGCATATATATCTGTAGGTGAGGGGTGGTATAAAAAGTTGTAGAACTACACATTTGCTGACTACAAGTTTCCCAAGGAAATAAAAGAGCTGAGAGAAGTGGAGAGTAATGGAGATTTCTGTAGGAGACAGGAACAGGGATATGAACAGAGTGTTGTTCTTTCAAAGCAATTGCCCAAAACGATGACTCACACTCATAATCCCAGCACATTGGGAGGCCAAGGTGGAAGGATTACTTGGGGCCAGGACTTCGAGACCAGCCTGATCGACATAGCTAGATCCTGTCTCTACAAAAAAATAAAATAAAATAAAACAATGCCCAAAAGAATGAAGGAAAGAATTGAGCGAAGCCAAATAAAAATTGACTAGTGATTCTGGGTCCCAATGATGTCACCAAAAGTTCATAAAATCTATGAAATTTACTTTTTTATTCATTCATTCATTCATTCAATAAAATTTACTATTTTATTCATTCATTTCCATTCATAAAAACTATGAACTTTTGGTGGCATCATTTCACATTTGTTTTCTGATTTTTTTTCTGTTGGTGTTTTAATAGTCAATTAGGTTTACAAGCTGAGAAGGCAGATTTGGGGAATGATTTATTGGTAGCACTTAGTAGATGGGTTACATAGAAGGATAATGAATTTGGAACTTGAAAATACTGATGGAGAACAGTTCCTATTACTGGCTATGATACTTTTCATTCTTAGAAGTAACCTCTCCCATCTCCAAAATCTCATAACAGTTTATATTATGTATTATAGTCATTCCAATGCTTGTTTTTGTATCATTATTCCATAAGCCCATTGAGGATCATAACTCTAGTGTACAATTGATCAATATGTGCAGATGCCTTGTTGTATTACAATATAAAAATTTGTAATAATCATTAATTATTAAATATTGTTGACTTTTTTTTAAATGGAGTCTCACTCTGTTGCCCAGGCTGGAGTGCTGTGGCACGATCTTGGCTCACTGCAACCTCCGACTCCCTGGTCCAAGCGATTCTTCTGCCTCAGTCTCCCGAGTAGCTGGGACTACAGGCACGTGCCACCACGCTCAGCTAATTTTTGTATTTTTAGTAGAGATGGGGTTTCACCATATTGGCCAGGATGGCCTCGATCTCTTGACCTCCGGTGATCCACCTGCCTCAGCCTCCCAAAGTGCTGGGATTACGGGTGTGAGCCACCGTGCCAGGCCCACAATAGCCAAAGATCTTTAATGTCCCTGTTTTGTTTAATCCTTCAACATTCTTTTATTTATTTATTTATTTATTTATTTATTTTGAGATGGAGTTTCGCTCTTGTTGCCCAAGCTGGAGTGCAATGGCGTGATCTCGGCTCACTGCAACATCTGTCTCCCAGGTTCAAGCGATTCTCCTGCCTCAGCCTCCTGAGTAGCTGGGATTACAGGCGACTGCCACCATGCCCAGCTAATTTTTGTATTTTAAGTTGAGACGAAGTTTCACCATGTTGGCCAGGCTGGTCTCGAGCTCCTGACCTCAGGTGATCCACCCCGCTCGGCCTCCCAAAGTGCTGGGATTACCGGTGTGAGCCACAGCACCCAGCCCAACATTCTATTTTTTAAAGACACATTTTTTAAAAACAGGAAAATTGTTACAAATTATATTAGTCTAAGCACTATCATAGTTCTCTAAGTTTAAAGAATTACCTATTAAGAAATGTTCCCCTTCTCCATGTGATTCAGGAGTAATTTCCTCCTAATTGCTAGCAAGGTGAAGTCTACTTGCTACTAAGGAAGCCATTATTGGTCTATATATTAATAGAGTGATAATTGAATACCTGTGGATGAGAATTGAGTAGGGGATACTTTGACATGCTCAGAGGAGTTTCATTAAACGCAAAATCAGAAAATGCTGAGAAGCTTGCTAGCAATTAATTAATTATTTTATACCAAATGGCTTTTTAAACTTAATTTCAGCTGGCCAATGCTGCTAACTTGAAGCTGGTAAGTATTAAAATCTACATTTGAACTGATGAAATTTGATAAGAAAGAAATAATTCAGTGCACCATTGACAGTTCACATCAATGTGTTTCACATTAATGGCAGATCGGATAAATGTCTGATTTTTGAATATTCATTTTGAACAATGAAATTGAAATAAAGTAAAATCTTCATGAAATTTGTGCTTTAATTCTAAATCAATAATTCCATCATCATGAAAACTGTCAAGGAGAGACAATGGATATGAGAGGAACGGGACATAGAAAGACAAGATTTCACGTAAAATTAGTCTTAAATATTTCTCTAAGTGGATTCTTGAAATACACATAAAATGATTTTAGGAATTTGAATTCTATGTATAAAGTTCAAATCTACAAATAAAGTTATGATGAACTTCAACTGGCTAACACATGTTCAATGTTCTACCTAAGTTGAGTATCTGAGACACAGTGGGGGTTGCCTGTAACTCGAACTCTTAGTGCCCTGATCATGTTGACTTTTCCAAGCTCAAATCTGGCTTACTCAGTTCTCTGAGGTCTCCAAAGAAACGAATGCACCTGGCAAATCATTACCTTGGCGGCATCCTGCCTGTGAAAGATTTGCAATTCTCAAGTTAGTATTTTATTTCTTAATTTTACTTTCTTGTTTAAAAATTTACTTTTTTATTTATTCATTCATTTACACTTATTGGCCAATATTTGTAAAGCTATTTTCATTTCTTCACTTGTAAAAATAATTTTTGATCCCATGATCCCCAAGGGAGTCAGGTACTGTTGTCTTTGCTCTACAGCCCTTTGCCACAAGGTGGGAGTATAACTCTTTGAAAGCAAAGAACTTCCAAAAAGTTTATTTCAAGATTTATGCAAACACAAAACACGAGTACAACATACTCTTATTTTACGATTCAACTTCTCTACAGCTTTAATAACTTTAGAAATTTTCCACTGTGAATAAATATTTCTTAAGTGACTATAAATCATAAGAACTGAATTCATTCTGTAAGAATGACGATGTTGACATTGCAATAATCACACTAATATTATCTAAGCCCTTATTTTGTGCCAGGTAATGTACTAGGTGTTTTACGAGCATTGACTCAACGTTCACCACCCTATCTTTACTTAGGTGCAATCATTGTTACCCTTTTTACAGAAAAGAAAACCAAGACTTAAATTAGTGAAGGTACTTATTCAAAGTTAGAAGTATTAGAAAAGGGGTTCTTATTTATCTTGCCTTTTAAGATTGTGTCTTATGCTATATTTTATATTTGAATTAGAGTTGTGCTTTATAAATTAATACGACGATAATCTCCAGGGGGCACATTTTACAAAAACAACATTTTGAGACTCCTTCTTTGAAGATTCTAATTTAGCAGGTCTGGAACATGGCCTAGCAAACTGTATTTTGAGGAAATGCCCCTTAAGATCCTTATCAACAAACAAGCTTTAAAACTACTGATTTACTGCTGCCTTTAGATTTAACTGATCTATTTATCACCTATTTCCGGAACTGTACTTTTTAATTCAAGATTTAAAAATCAAGGTCACAAAATCAAAATAATGTGAACTCAGGCTCTCCAATACTATGTGATGTCCCAAATGTTGAGGACTCAGGTGAGTAATGTATTGTAGAAAGGGTGATATGCCTGTGTATTTTATGCTCTACCATAAAAATATCCCAGTAAAATTTATACTACACAATAAAGTGAAATCAGATGCAAAAGCTTTATCAATTTAAAAGTGTTTAACATATCTAGTGGGTATTTTAATGGCATGTAAAAACTATTAACAGTTCAGATGTCATATAGCAATAGTGATTTAATAAAATCTCTTCTAAAATTATGACCTCTTACAAGGCATGTAATAATTTGACTCACTGATTTTGTAACCCCGAAGTAAAAGATAAACAAAGTATCAAAATCAAGTGACAACAGCTAGCAGAATATTTGTCCTTTAGGTCTAAAATATTTATAGTGCCATTTGTATTTAGATCCCTTTTCTCTTAGACAGTATGTATTAATATTTTCGCTTTTCTCTCTTTTTAGAATAAAAATTCTCTTCTATCTTAGATTCTTGTCTCCATCATCATCTCAAAAGCCTCTAACTGTATTATAATTTCCTGGAGAAAGATATTTCATTATTTCTGTAACTGCTAAGATTTAAGTACATGATGGAGTAGAAAATAATATTAATAATATAGTAAAGCATTGTAATAAAATTTACTTATTACAATGTGGTTGCATAATAGGCTATTATAACAACATATTTTTAAAGCAAAACACTTTTGCCTTCTTTTTAAGGTGAAGACATTGAAACCTAGACTCACAGTGTTGACCTAAGTTCACAATTGGACAGAGCTGGATCTGAACGCAGGGTTCCTGACTCCCAGAGCAGTGCTCCTCACTTACCCAAATGACTGGCAGAATTGACGCTTTATGGTTCAATCAGTCAGTGAACAAGAAATACATTTGAAAATAAACCTCACACTGGCCTGAGAAGATTTATTATAAAGCGATTTTCCAATAGAAAGACGACACCAAAAAATGTGTCACAAAAATTGAGGTGAAGTGAATGATCAACCAATAAATTACGTTAATTTTTTATTGTAATTGCATTAAATATTTTGAGGTATTCTCATTGCTATCATTAAGTGAGCATTAGTATTATACTTTCACATACTGGAATGATGGCTGCTTATAGTTTCTTCAAGCTCTGAAACTTTTTTTTTTTTAATTCTTTGGCTTCGATAAAACCTAAAAAGACAGAGCCCTAATTCTGAAAATCTGCCTTCCGATGCCAAGTTGGGGTCGGTCGGGTTATCAGTGTGAAGGCCATCACTCCCTTATTGATTATCTTTGGTTGTTTCCCATGTTATTGTTTTAACAGCCTTTAAATTATTTGATTGGTTAATACCACAGTACTTCCAAGGCTATCCATAATTTCTGCTCCTTTTTTTTTTTTTTTTTTGAGACGGAGTCTCGCTCTGTCGCCCAGGCTGGAGTGCAGTGGCGCCATCTGGGCTTGCTGCAAGCTCCGCCTCCCGGGTTCACGCGATTCTTCTGCCTCGGCCTCCCGAGTAGCTGGGACTACAGGTGCCTGCCACCACGCCCGGCTAATTTTTTGTATTTTTAGTAGAGACGGGGTTTCACCGTGTTAGCCAGGATGGTCTCGATCTCCTGACCTCGTGATCCGCCCGCCTCGGCCTCCCAAAGTGCTGGGATTACAGGCGTAAGCCACCGCGCCCGGCCAATTTCTGCCCCTTTTATATCAATTTGACAAATATTTTTAAACTCTTTTATTTGCTATACCAAGAAATGCCACTAGATGACACTAAGTGACTAAATTCCTGAATCACTAGAAAACCCTAAATTGGGAAGTAGCCAACATTAATGGAGATTCTGTAATGTGAGAAATCTGTGCTAAGACTGAAGTTCTGTTTGTATAGGCGTTTCAATTACCCTTTACTTTTAGAGTTCGGTAGTGTATTTATTGAAAGTTTAACCCAAAACTGAATTTTTTAAATTAATTTTTTCATGTACTTTTTATAATTCCAAATGAGATCTGTTTATCATAATATATTTCATAATACAAATGCATTTTTTGACCATTATTATGCATAATAAGAAATATCAAAATATTTTCCATATTCATTTGGCTATTTCTATTCATGGAAGTGATTTTTGAACAGAGAAATTTGATGAAATAAGTCATTGCGAATTCTAGAGTAAAATACCTGAAGAAACCACTTTGTGACGTGTGACATCCACTGCTCTGCTGTTCTCTCCCTTGCTCACTCTGCTGTGGCCACGCTGGCTTTCTTCCATGTTTTCTGACATGCTAGAGACACTGGCCTTGAGCCTTTGTTGTGGCTGTTCCTTCTAAGTGAAAACCTCTTCTTTGAGATGTTTTGGCAAACTCTGCCTCATCAAGGCCCAGCCATTGTAAAACAGTAACATCTGCCCCACCATCCCCTCCACCACCCCTCATTCCTCTCACATTCTCTACTTTTTCCATTTTACATAGTACCTGTCACTTCCTAACATGTCACCTAGTTCAATTATTTATCCTATTCAATATATATTGTCTGGCTTCACCTATTAGAATGTAATCTTCACGAGACAGGAATCTTTTCTTTACAGACAGATCACAAGCACCTTGAAAAGGGACTGGCGTGTAATAGACACTCAATCATAGCTGTCGAATTTATTTGACTTGGAATCAGTCAAGTATGTATTGCGTAGTACCTACTACAATATGTCTAGCTCTGATACAGAAAGGGAAAAAAGAGGTTATTTCTCCCAGTGAACTACAGCAGAGTTAATTGCTTCAAATTTGTGACCTGAGTTATACATATCTGTTCTTGGCATTTGATATGCCCTAAATTAATGGTCAATAAAAACCTCCAGTTATATGACATTTTGCATTGGCCCCATAACCATAATACATATATAGTTTACACTTCATATACCTGCAGTTATTTTCTGATAAGAATAGAGAGGGAAGAAATTGCCTTTCTGTGTTTGCCCAGCAAGTGGAAAAGAAAGATTCCAAAGGAGAAGCAGCGCAGGAGTTGGTTAGAACTGAAAGCTGCAAGAACAGAAAGATGAGTCCCTACCATGTTGACTTGCCAATGAGAAGACAGAACTTCGACACCTTATCACAAGGCAATGCATTTCAAAAGATTTTTATTCCTGTCTAGGATTTTTTAAAAGGAGTTTTTAATGGGTAGGAATGTTTCCATATTATCAAATAGGCTATTTCAATATTGGAAAAATTGTAGGTATAGATATAACCACAAGATAGAGAGTGTGAGGCTGTTAAATAGTACAACTTTGGCTGGGCGCAGTGGCTCACGCCTGTAATCCCAACACTTTGGGAGGCCGAGGCGGGCAGATCACCTGAGGTCAGGAGTTCGAGACCAGCCTGACCAACATGGAGAAACCCTGTCTCTACTAAAACTACAAAATTAGCCATGTGTGGTGGCGCATGCCTGTAATCCCAGCTACTCGGGAGGCTGAGGCAGGAGAATCGCTTGAACCCGGGAGGCGGAGGTTGCAGTGAGCAGAGACCACACCATTGCACTCCAGCCTGGGCAACAAGCGTGAAACTCTGTCTCAAAAAAAAAAAAAAAAAAAAAAAAGGTAAAACTCTGAAATGCTATACCCAAAAAGTATTTTAATAATATTACTCAAAAGAGCCAGGACGTACACACTATGCCCAGAGAGGACTGTGTTCATCACTCAGGCCTGAGACTGAGATCCGTCCAAAAGTACTAAATTAAGAACTTCTTTGCATTTCCACTTGGAATGTTCTCATAGGATCTTATGATGAAAATAGAGAATGAGAGAAGGTGGAAAGAGCTATAATTGGCATTAAATATGGGGTAATTAGGGTTAGGCCAATCCTCCTTTACAGCAGAGCAAATAGCATCTGCATTTAAAGAGAAATTTGAACTATGCTGTTAAGCAGATCATCCCTACAAATAGCAACAAGGGCCATAATACAATAATATGAAAATTGAAACTAACCTTATTCCCTGCCCTTATGATAAACAATACTGAGACAAAACATACTGTTATGTCAAAGTGTTAAACAATACTGGGGGCAAGTAAAAATAACTTACCTACCTGATCCAGGAAATATTTGCTCCTAGGAAATAACACTAAACAAATTAAAATAAAGGCATGTACCACATAATGGTGTTTCAGTCAAGGACAGATCACATATACAACAATAGTCTCATAAGATTATAATACTGTATTCTTCTTGTACCTTTTCTATGTTTAGAAACACAAATACTGACCATCTGTGTCACAATTTGCCTATAGTATTTAGTACAGTAACGCTGTACAGGTCTGTAGCGTAGGAGCAATAGTCTATACCATTTAGCCTAGGTGTGTATAGCCTATACCACCTAGGTTTGTGTAAGTTCACTCTGATGTTCATACAATGACGAAATCACCTAACAATGCATTTCTTATAACATATCCTAGTAGCTGGCCAGGTGTGGTGGATGCTCATGCCTGTAATCCCAGCACTTTGGGAGGCCAAGGCAGGTGGATCACCTGAGGTCAGGGGTTCAAAACCAGCCTGGCCAACATGGTGAAACCCTGTCTCTACTAAAAATACAAAAATTAGCCCGGTGTGGCGGTGAGCGCCTGTAATCCCAGCCACTCGGGAGGCTGAGGCAGGAGACTTGCTTGAACCTGGGAGGCGGAGGTTGCAGTGAGCTGAGATTGTGCCATTGCACTCCAGCCTGGGCAACAAGAGTGAAACTCCGTCTCAAAAAAAAAAAAAAAAAATATCCTGGTAGTTAAGCAATGTGTTACTTTACCTTAATTATCAAGACAAAAGTATTTGTTCATCAAAGCTCATTGCAGGATCTCCACCTAGTTGTACTCAAGTATCCCAAATTATTATGCCATTAAGGCTGCCCCGTCCCAACCAGTTCCTCACCTTGCAACACACACTTTAAAATCACTTACCAAGGACCTAAAGCCTCATAAATATCCTCCCCTAAATTCTACATTGTAAGACACCACTAAGATTCTGGCAAGCTAGAGTTCTATAGCAGATCTAATAAACTTAGTTTTGTTTGATAACAGGTTTTTTTTTTTTGGTGGGGGCATGGGAGCTTTTTGGAAGGTCAGTGGTCAACAGATAGAACTAGCTCAGCATTGAAAGACAAAGTGTCACAATCCAACAGCCTAAAGCCACCACAAATACAGCTACAATTGAGCAAAGTTGAG
Organism: Homo sapiens; assembly: GCF_000001405.40. Classification (NCBI taxonomy): domain Eukaryota; kingdom Metazoa; phylum Chordata; class Mammalia; order Primates; family Hominidae; genus Homo; species Homo sapiens. Next base: position 82,723,661 of record NC_000007.14, on the reverse strand, counting down.
GTTACTCACTGTAACAAAGGAAAATGCATACCAGTGGGAATTGTGGGTGTGTCTCAATAAAAAGGCTGTTAAGAATGCATTATAAAATTTGGGCTTTTGTTAGGTGACCTGGGGACAGCTTGAAGGAAGTGGGGCTTTGTTATATATTGATTGTTTTCAGGAATTCGAGTTAATTCTACAATTGACCATTGTATCTGCTATCTATCATTGCATAACAAATTACCACACATTTAGTGGATTAAAACTGCACATTTATCTTGCTATATCTGAGATTTGGGACTCTAGACACAGCTTAACTGCATCCTCTGCTTCAGGGTTTTTCAGGGTCTGCAAGCAACGTGTCAACTGCAGCTGTAGTCTCATCTCAAGGCTCTACTAGGGAAGGCTCAATTTCCATGCTCAGGAGATTGTTAGCAGAATTCAGCTCTTTCTGAGTTGTCATACTGAGAGCCTCAGGTCCTTACTGGCTGTCAGCTGGGGCTGCCCTCAGTTCCCTGCCACGTGGCCCTCTGCATACAGCAGCTTGCTTAATCAAAGGCAGCAAGGCAGAGTGGGAGAGTCAGTAATAGTCAAGAGTGTCTGCTGGCAAGATGGGAGTTAACAAGCTTATGCAGCATAGTCACAGCAGCGAAATCACATCATCTTTGCCATATTATTCTGGTTAAAAGCAAGTCAGAAATCCTGCCTATATTCAAGGGAAGGGGATTACACATAGGTGTGATGACTAGGAGGTGGGAAAACTTGGGTCATCTAGGAGCTGGTCTGCTACAGTATCTTAATGAATCTCATCTAGAGTGAGGGAAGAAGGGAACATGGCTAAAGCTGTGATTGGCAAAGGAGCCACACATATTAGCCAGCAGAGGAGGAGTTTGGTCATTTTTGGGTTTTGATAATATGCATGTTTTTGTCTGTTATTAGACATAATTATAGAGTCATCTTGTTTTAGTCTTTATCCATTATAGTCACAGATGTTGGTGGCATCTATGGTGTTGTCTGATGTTGTAGTCATAAAATTGTTTATGTTCAACAGGAGAAGAGCAGACGCAAGGTCAACAGCCAGCAAGAATGAGGGCTAAGCGACGGTTCAAGAACAGTTTTTAGCTGTCAGGGGCTGCTATCCTCTTTCTCATAATAAATAAGTGAGGATATATAGTAGAGGAATAACAAATCTTGGAAAAAAAAGGAGAAAGAAAAAAAAATCAGACCATAGATAATTTTCTAGACAAGCAAGACTAATTATTAAAGTCAATGCTTTAGTTAAAATGAATTTGAAAATGCTCTCAGGATTCTCATATATAATTTAGAGATTATCATGCATAAATTTATAAAAGCTGCCATTATTCATGAATATTGTTTTATTCAATGATCTGAGAGTATATATTCTTTTAAATTATTTTTTATTTGGTTTTCAAAAGTCCTAAGTTAAAAAGTAGTGAAAGATATTTGGAACAAAAGAATTTACATTATTACTAAACTAAGTTTTCTGTTGCCCAAAACTGGCATCATAGAAAATTCAACAAGCCTTTGTTACTATCTCAGAAAAAAATATTTAGAAAAAGGTTTGCATATGGATTTGCAAATAAATTGAAGATGTAATGATTTGAATATAATCGAATGAATGATGTAATGATGCCAATGGTATCATTAACCAGATTTAACCAGAAAGTATAAAAGAGTTGTCATGGAAAGTGATTTGTGATTAGGTTAACATTTTTAAGGTTAAGCCTCTTTCTCCAATGTACAGTATTCAGATGCTGAAATTATGCTTGTTTGTCACTGACCATAATTATATATATTAAAAAGAGTCTCTGTGGAATCTACAATCTTGATATCAGCTGTAATCACTGTTCCTATAGAGAAACCTTGACAAGAGAATATAATAATAAATAGAACCAGTAGTATTTCCAGGCAACCCATAGTCACAATGTCAAGAATTATTCCCCAGTAGGTTGTCTTTTTCAAGCTATTTGAAGCATTCCTGCTGATACTAAAGCTGTGTCCTTGAGTCTCTGACTACTTAATTTGTTCTACACTTTCTGAGTCAGATTAATCCTTCTACGAAGAAAACAACTTTGCTTCCCACTCTTGCATTTGTTCATTAATCCGATTTTTTTCCTTTCTATTTACTGTTTTTGGAGTTTTTATCTCCTATCATCCACACAGTAGCCCAAAGAGGAGTCAAAGGCAGAGTTCTCTCTTTACATTGTTTTTTCTCCTTTGCTGTCTGATTACCTGTTCTTCAGGTCTCAGAAGGAATGTTCCTAGCATTTTCACATCTTCCTTGAAAACACCTCTGCTCATCCCACAGTCCCCAATAAGTACGTTTTGCTGCACAGTAGTCCCTTCTTATCTATGAGGAATACATTCTAAGACCTCCAGTGAATGCCAGAAACCGCAGATACTACCAAACCCTATATACACTATGTTTTTTTTTATCTGTCTGGTAACTAAGATGCTACTAAGTGACTAATCAAGCAGATATCATAGTATGGATTTGCTGGGCAAAGGAATGTTTCATGTCCTTGGTAGAATGAAACAGGATGGTGTGAGAGGTCATCATGCTACTCAAAATGGCACGCAACTTAAAGCTTATAAATTGTTTATTTCTGGAATTTTACATTTAATATTTTCAGACCGTGGTTGACCTCAGGTAACTGAATCTGCAGAAAGCAAAACTACAGAAAAGTGGGGACTCCTCTAGTTTTATAGTACCCTGCTCCTGCTTACATCAAAGCACTTATCATACTTTACTGATCTCTCTTTCCCTCTTCTAAGAAAAGTACCCAAAACTTGTAAACAAGCAAAAGAGATTGCAATATTTCCTTTTAGTGTATTTTTTGAAGATTGTCAGGCCCAGCCATGGCTGAAAGGGGCCAACATACAGCTCAGGCTTTGGCTTCAGAGGGTGGAGGCCTCAAGGCTTGGCAACTTCCACATGGTGTTGAGCCTACAGGTGCACAGAAGTCAAGAATTGAGGTTTGGAAACCTCCACCTAGATTTCAGAACATGTATGGAAATGCCTGGATACCCAGGCAAAAGTTTGCCTTAGGGGTGGGGCCCTCATGAAGAACATCTGCTAGGGCAGTGCAGAAGGAAAATGTGGGGTCAGAGCCCCCAAACAGAGTCCCTACTGGGGTACTGCCTAGTGGAGCTGTGAGAAGAGGGTCACCATCCTCCAGAATGGCAGATCCACCAGCAGCTTGCACCGTGCACCTGGAAAAGCTGCAGACACTCAACACCGGCCTGTGAAAGCAACCAGGAGGGAGACTGTACCCTGCAAAGTCACAGGAGTGGAGCTGCCCAAGACCATGGGAACTCACCTTTTTCATCAGTGTGACCTAGATGTGAGACCTGAAGTCAAAGGAGATAATTTTGGAGCTTTTAAATTTGACTGCCCCACTGGATTTTGGGCTTGTGTGGGCCCTGTAACCCCTTGCATGGCCCTTTGTTTTGGCTAATTTCTCCCATTTGGAACAGGTGTATTTATCAAATATCTGTACCCCCATTGTATCTAGGAAGTAACTAGCTTGCTTTTGATTTTACAGACTCATAGCTGGAGGGGACTTGCCTTGTCTCAGATGAGACTTTGGATTGTGGACTTTTGGGTTAATGCTAAAATGAGTTAAGGCTTTTTGGGACTATTGGGAAGGTACGATTGATTTTGAAATGTGAGGACATGAGATTTGGAGGGGCCAGGGGTGAAATGATATGGTTTGGCTGTGTCCCCACCGAAATCTCAACTTGAATTGTATCTCCCAGAATTCCCATGTGTTGTGGGAGGGACCCAGGGGGAGGTAATTGAATCACGAGGGCTGGTCTTTCCTGTGCTATTCTTGTGATAGTGAATAAGTCTCAGGAGCTCTGATGGGACTATCAGGGGTTTCCGCTTTTGCTTCCTCCTTATTTTTCTCTTGCCACCACCATGTAAGAAGTGCCTTTCAGCTTCTGCCATAATTCTGAGGCTTCCCCAGCCATGTGGAACTATAAGTCCAATTAAACCTCTTTTTTGTTCCCAGTTTCAGGTATGTCTTTATGAGCAGCATGAAAACAAATACAATAATACAAACTAGAACTTCTCTTCCACAAAGTGAGCCGTAAAACCTAGAAAGGTTGCTCTCTCCCATCTCTCTTCTCTCTTGAAGACCCTGTTGTGCTAGACCCTTATTGGCTCCAATAAGTATAGTACTGTGCACAAGAGGCCACAGAAGAGAGCCAGAAACAGCTAATAGGGTGTATTGAGGACTTATGTACGGGGCAGTCCAGTGCGACTACCGTTTGCAAAAAGCATGTAGTTTATGCAGCATTTCTACTTAGCACCCTCCACCTAGCAACTTCCTTTTAACCCAAAACAAAGGACCTCAATCCCCTGTATGGCCTGCATTCCAAGGGATGGGCCAAGGGTTCAAATGTCCTTCATAGATAAGGAGTGAATCTCCATATTGGCCATTTCCAGATATCTTAGCTCAGAACCCTGAACCAACACTTTTCTTAGACCATAGGATCACTCTCAGGGTGTGCTTCAGTTACAGCTGTCAAGTGCCTTTGCCAAACAGACTGCCATTTCAGAGGGGTACTGCCCTATACCCAGGAGGAGGGAATGCTACACAGAAAGAAAAACCTTGCTGAGTTTCCCTCCTCAGTCTATTATCATTAGGCCATACCATCATTGTCCAATCACATTTCTACATGGATGGGCATTCTTCATAGAACCTAAGCATAAAAACAGACAGTCTTCCCTGAGTCTTTGCATCTCCATTGCTGAAGTTTCTTGTGTCACATAAAACTTTTACTAAATAAATTTATGCTTTTCTCAGGTTAACTTGTCTTTTGTTATAAGAATGTTGCCATTGCCCTTCAGATGGGTTGAGGAAAAGTAGTACATCTTTATGCCCCTAGGCTTATTTACTATTGATTTAGGTAAGTTACAACTCTACAAAGATAATCACCAGTCAGTAAATTCAAATGATTGTTTTATAGCAATGTGGTTTTGTTGTTCACATCTTTTGTAAGATAATTAACTAGGGTTACATTTAAATCAGCAATCTTGTTATGAGGGAGGAAAAATATTATTCCCCCCGCCCTCCTAGGTTCGATGACTGAGGCCCACAAATCAAACTGTTAAAAGATAGATTAACAAGAGAAAAATCTGTTTTAATTACACATATATGCAATGAAGTCTCACAAATAAATGAGCCTCAAGCAGGCAGGCAGGTGATTGGGGCTTATAAACCATTTTAGGCTAAACAAAGGAAAAGGAGTATGGGGCTTCTACACAGGGGAGGAATGTTATGGGAAGGTAAGAATGGGGAGAAATGTATGGTAAATAACAGTTGTCTTCTGCAGATAAGAGTTGTTCAGCGCATAAGAGTTATCTCTGGTATGAGACACAATTACAACTGTAAATTTCCTTTATAAATGGAAATAATTTTCCTTACAAAAGGGAAGATTTATTCTCTATTTTTAGGCAGTAAGGTAAAGAAAATTTTTTCTCCATCTGCTGGTTCCCAGTTGTGTTTAGCTCAAAACAATCCATATGCCAAAGAGACTATACTGGGGTGGGATGTTCTAATAGCCTTCATTATTCAAGTGTTCCTTTTTCAGCTAGTCTAAATACTTCCTTCTTTCTTTGAACCACTATTACCATCTTACAGATTCTAGCACTATGGAGAGAATTAAATATTTGACATGTGTTCACTTCATGCTCATTTGACAGGTACATATTTAACTTTTTGGTTGTTCTTTTGAGACAGCGTCTTCCTCCATTGTCTAGGCTGGAGTGGCACCATCATGGCTCACTGCCACCCCCACCTTCCCGGCTCCAGGAATCCTCCCATCTCAGCCTCCTGAGTAGCTGGAGCCAGGGTTGTGCACCACTAAGCCTGGCTAAATTTTTTTTTTTTTTTTTTTTTTTTGTATTTTTGGTAGAGACAGGGTTTCACCATGTTACCCAGGCTAACTTTTTGAAAATTATACTTTGACACCACTAACCTCTTAAAGTCTATGCCTTTCAACCTTATGCTTACAGTGTTTAGAATATAACAAGGGCTCAGGAAATGTTTATTGAATGTTTGAACTGAGTATTACAGAAAAAGAAACTGGATTTAGGATAAGAACTTGCTTAAATTCAAATGGCTGTTGGTGTAATAGTGAAATTGGATTGAAAACCTACATTTTTAAATTTCTAGTTGAAGGACATTAGTAATGGAACAGAACAGCTTGAACACCATATATAGGACTGGATATTCAAATACTATGGTTACCACATGCTTGGAACAAAATATACTGTTACCTAAAATAAAACGGAAAAATAGTATAACTGCTTCAGACTTTATTATAATACACAATCACCTTTATGGATGTCAAAAGTTATGTATGACTGTAATGTAAAGTAGATACTTAACAATATCACTCATTACATATTTATTGAACAGTTGTATTACTGTAGTACCCAGATATTAAAATTTCAATAAGAAAATGTAATAAATATGAGTTATTTTTAGAAAAAGGAACACAGCAGGTCAAAATAGTGCCACATTTTTTAATGTTTATGAATCCTAATATTTATATCACAGCTTCAAAATGTGCATTTGTAGAACAAAAGAGAACATCACACAATCTGGCATAAACTTATATTATTTTTCAGAAAATAAATCTAAAAATCTGGCCAAAATAATACCTTCAATTTGATTATGTAAAGAGAGAGAGAAAAATGCTTTTTAAAAAAACCTTATAGTTATTATGAAAGACTCTCAGGAATGTGATTTTTTAGAGATTATTTAGAATTTCTTAACATAAATAAACACACATGCCATTATAATCACAATATTTTATTGACATGTCACATTATGACAAAATAAGATACAAAGAACAACCTCTCCCTCTCTAAATACATGTCTGTAGGGGAGGAAAAATATCTGATATCTTTTGGCTGTGTCCCCACCCAAATCTCCTCTTAAATTGTAGCTCCCATAATTCCCATGTCATGGGAGGGACCCAGTGGAAGGTAATTAAATCATGGGGGCGGGTCTTTCTTGTGCTGGTCTTATGATAGGAATAAGTCTCAGGAGATCTGATGGCTTTATAAAGGGGAGTTCTCCTGCACACACCTCTTGCCTACCACTATGCAAGACGTGACTTTGCTCCTCATTCACCTTCCGCCATGACTATGAGGCCTCCCCAGCCATGTAGAACTGTGAGTTAATTAAACCTCTTTCCTTTATAAATTACCCAGTCTTGGGTATGTTGTTATTAGCAGGGTGAAAACAGACTAATATAATATCTTTCTCATTTACTCTTCTAAGTTCTCAGCTGGGCCCCTGTAACAAAAAACAGATTTATAAGAGAAAATCATATAAATTTATAATATAGCTTCACTTGACACGCGGCCTTCATAAGGAAGTGAAGAATAAGTGTTTTAAATGCTAGATTTGATCAAGAGTGGAGAGTTGTGGAGAAATGTGATAGGACAAGGTATGAGCTATAGTAAACCAGGGGAAACAGCCAGGCCTGTGTGTTCAGATTTCTACTGGTGTCTCTTCCTCTTTGAAGACAAGGTTGCTCCATTCCTTCAGGTGGAAGGAGGATACCTTTCACATAAGGGTCTTATGACCCACTTCAGGGGAAGGTCAGAAAGTTATTTCTGCACATGTGGTTTCTCAAATGCTTCAGTTTAAAACAGTCAATATGCCAAGGTGCCATATTTTGGGGTAACATGTCCTGAATGCCATGTATAAATGTCATACCAAGAAATTTTTGCAAAAGTCTTCTCTAATAACAAAAAATTCAAAGATACCCTTGTCATTGCTTTCCCTGGTCCTTTCTCTTCTGACTTCATCTTATTGCTCAACCAGCCATTTTATTTTCAGTTCTAAAATGTACATTTTGTCTGCAGAGTTTTTGTTGGTTTTTTGTTTTTGCTTTGACTTTCTGTTAACTGTATTTGGGCAATTGTGTAAAGCAAGACACTTGGTTATGAGAAGTCCCCTGTTGTGTTGACTCTGGGACACCAGAGTCACATTGTTCTGTGGCCCTAACCAGGCCTTTGGGTTTCCTGTTGGCCACCCCACTGATGTTTTGGGGTTTTCAGCATTGGCCAGCCCCCAGATACTTGAAGATTTCTGACATTTGGTGTGGGGAACCCCACTGGTTGATACTCAGCTACTCCAGCTTTTCAGCATTTGGTATTGGCTGCCCGCTGGATGCTCCGGGGTTTTCAGCATTGGAATTCCCCTAGGGGAATCTTGGTCTTGCCTTTTCTTGCTTTCTGCCCTAAATATATCACTTTCCATAACAGGATTTTCTTATTGTCAGTTTATTTACACTTTTCATTCTACACTTTGCTTGATAAAAATACTTTTTTGTCATGCTTTGTTCATTGGCAAATATAATCCACTTTCATAATGTCTTGCTTTCTATACTTTCACCTTCTCTGCAGTTAGTAAGAATCTAAAAAGGAAAAGTTGCAAGAGCCCAGTTGCTTTTACTCACACTAGAATTAGAAAAACTTCTGAGTCCTGTAGCAAACCATGGGAACAATGATGAGTATCCCAGATGACTTGCCACCGGGGTGTCTTTTAGGTTCTTGGAGCGAATTCAAATTTGAAACTCATTTTCTATTGCATCACTGTTTGGGTCTGTTACCAATTAGAAAATAAACAGATCCATCCTAGGCCTGGGTCTTTACATTATTTTACATTAGTTCTGTAGAAGGAAATTGGGAAGAGGTCCCTTATGTGCAGGCTTTTAGAGCTTTTTACTGGCTCATGTTACTTCCAGGCACCAGGAAGCCATGCCTAAGGGACCCCCTACTAGATGCTCCCCCTAGAAGGCCTACACCCTCTCTGGAGCCTCCTCAGTCCCCCAGTTCTGATGGGCGGTCCTGCCAGTTCTCTAATAAAGGATTTCACCCCAAGGTCATCAGGTACCAGCCTATCTAACAATCCCCAGCCTATACCCACTCTTCCCAAGAAAGCAAAACCAACCAGTACCACCAGGAGCAGGGCCCCATATCAGCCCCGAAAATCAAACCTGTGTCCATTGCAGGCAGTAGCTGATGGAAATAACAGAACATTTAGAGTACATGTGCCATTTTCTATGTGCAACTTGGCTTCATGCAATGAAAAATGTGGTCAGTTTTCAGAGAACTCAGAAAAGTTTATAGAGGAGTTCATTAAGTTGACTATGTTCTTTAATTTAACTTGTCATGACTTGCAAATATTGTTGTCTGCTTGCCGTACCGTGGAGAAAAAGTGGAGGAAAGAGTGTGCAGTTCAGCCAGTCAATTAAGACAAGGTTAGAGAAACAACTCAGGGAAAAATAAAAAATCCCACTCTGTTTCAGGGTGGTTTGGTTGAGACACTCAGGAAATACACCAATACAAATCTAGACTCTTCTGAAGGGCAAGCTCTCCTGGGTATGTATTTTATTACTCAATCTGCCCTTGACAGGAGAAAGCTACAAAAAGCAGCCATGGGATTCTTGGTTTTTCTTGATGTTTCTAGATTTTCAGTGTAACTGGAAAACTTTTCGTGTTCTTTTGCTATACTCATAGCTTTAAACACATTTTTCCTGTGTTTGATCAAATTAAAGTATTCTTTTTCTCTCCATCAAATTTAATTTTCAGGTTATTTAAGTGGGCTTCCCATAGGAGAGGTAATCATATTGCAGAGGGTGTTACCACTTTGGATAAACAAGTAACTATTGCTTACAATAACCTGTGGTTCCATATTGATCAAATATTTTGGGCCTTTTAACACCTTTGACAAACACCCTCAGAATCAAATCCTAGTTTAAATCTCTGGGTTGTTGCTGGGGTTTATCAAAGCTATAAAAATTAATCATCACAAGGTTATAAATTCTTTTTTTAGTTTCTAGTCAGGTCGTGGTTTCCAGGATCACCACCTCCAGACCTTTGACAAGTTCCTTATCAGGTAATCAAATTAGGTAACTTATCAGGTAATCTTATTAGGTAACTAATCCATGTGCTATTAAGTTACCGGACTTTGACTCCTGGGTACACATAGCTCATCTGGAGAAAGCACCAATTCCTTCCAGCATCTAACACCAAACTCAAGTTAACCAAAACCTTGTCTTTAAACCTGGGCAAAGGGGAAAATCAAAGTAAAGTGCTTTCATGAGACACAGAGACAAGCTTGTATCCATTTAATGATTTTGCCTCTAACTGAATTAATATAACTTATTATATGTCTTGATACTGAATAGCTTAAATGTTTAGATACCTGTGAGACTCCTTCCCTGTCATTCTCAAAACTAGGGAAGGCTTATGGCCTTTTTGTTAGTAACATTGCTGATTCTTCATGTTTTACCTCCAGAATTTATAACAACTCAATTCTTCCAGGCTTGGGGACTATCTCAGAAGAGGTGTGCGTGTGAGACTGCAAAGACTGGGTTTCAAGGGAAACAATCCAGACCCTCCAAATCAAGGACAGGCAGACAGATGCCTAAACAAAGTGCTTATGTCTTGTATAGCTAATTGCTACAAGCCAAGATTACAGCAGCTCAATGCACAGAATTTATAGTTAAGTCAGTTGTAGAATCTTATTTTTGGTTTTTATTTTTTGACTCTTAAATTGCTTAGAATGGTTTTAAAGGCTAATGAGTTTCTACCCACTTCCACTCTTGTCTGGTCTAGAATGTTTAATTGACTATAAGTCTTTTGACTCTAAGTCACTTGGCCAAAGGAAATCCTCCAAAAAAATCTAAAAAATAAAAAAGACTAATTCAGGCCAAGATGGAAACAAGGGGTTGGACATACCTCACTATGCCCCCTAAATTTTAAATTTAGGCTAGGTTCACAAGGTCTTTCAAGAATATGAACCTAAAGTATTGCCTCTAACCAGAATACTTAGTCTTACTAAAAACTTTAAAATTAAGGATCCTCCAAGAATCAATTACAACCAAAATAAAAGGGCCCTTATCGGATATTAAGTTCCCCCACTGCTGTTAAACTTCAGGGAATAACTAGTTGGGTATACTGGTCCAGGATAAAACCTGTTTCTTATGAGTCACAGGCACAAAAGGGGGACACCACGACTTGTATATATCTGTGAACCTTTGGAAGGCCTCCACTACCTATTTAAAAGAATCAACACTCAGCCAGAAGTGGTAATGTGATGCTGTGGATGAGAATAAGGGCATTAATTTTCTCCCCTTCCTGATTGTAATACCTCTTTTCTATCACTTTGGCCAACCACCTTCTCCTGGTTGAAACACTTCTTTTGTCCTTGTTGGGTGTAGAGGTCACTCTAAGTCCCAACTGGACACCATGCTGTCACTGTGAGTCCTGTTTGCTCTCCCAATCACCCTGATCCAGTGTGGGAGGGAACAAAAACTCTATAGTAAATATTTCAAAAATTATAGCATCAGGAAATCTTCATGGTTTCTGTATTTGTCATCAACATCCCCAGGATAGAGAGTTCCACCTTCTGGTCTATCTGGAAAATCTCAAAATCTCACAGCCTTCTCCCTAGACCTCCTAACTAACCATAGCAATCCCAAAGAACCCAGACCCCTGCTTGTTAAGGAGAACTCTCCACATAACGGATTCCACCTGAACCCCCCCAGCTACTATTACCTGGACCTGGGAAGTTGGGTATCTATATCTCCAGTGCATTAATGATTTTATCTTTTGCAACCATTGTTGGGTTAATGACACAAAAGCAGAAGACTCCCTGCAATGCTCCGATTCAACTCTAGTTGCCAAGTTCCCAAGGCCACAGCGAGGTAAGTGGGATTCCACTTGTAAGTGAGGAGACCACATATGGTGCTTTCTCCTGGATCAGAACATATAGGGGAAAAACTACTGCCTAATCCAGGAAGCTGAGAGTACCACACCCTTCTGGAAAACAAGGGTTGTTTGGCCACCCCCATTTAAACAGAGGAAGAATATCTCATAGACTCTACTTGGCAGCAAAGAATAGACATCACACCCCATAGGGCCTTTGTTTGTGCCCAGCTGGGCTAATTTTTGTTTGCAGTCATGAATGGGAAGAAGTCACACTCCATAACCACTCCCAATTCCCTAGGGAACTGCCTGTTCTTTTAGGAGTAGCTTTCCCCTGTATATAAAAAAACTTGGAACACAGGTAAATGTACACTGGCCACCCTTGCCCCTGCAGGAGTTATAGTCTATAACCCTTAAGACCCAAAACACAGGAAGTAAGCAAGCAGTGAAATTAATTCTTGCAGGAATCAGGGCGGCCACAGGACTAGCAGCACCCTGGAGTGACGTTGCCTACCAGGAGTCAACGCTAAAGAACTTGACTCGAACACTAGAATCCTTAAACATCAACACAGATCAGGCACTGAGGGAATTCAAGAGTCCCTAGACTCTTTGGCAAATGTAGTTCTCAATAACAGGCTAGCATTGGCTTATTAACTGAACAAAGTTGAGCCTGTACAGTTGCTAACAAAATCTGCTGCACATATACTAACAGCTCTAGACAGCTTGAGGTTAACATGCAAAAGATCTTTGAGCAAGTTACCTGGTTACATAGATATAACCAGGGTACTGACCCTAATTATATCTCATCAACTATCAAAAGTGCCTTCCCAAGTTTCACCTGGTTTTTACTTCTCCTAGGACCTTTGATAGCTGTCTTGTTAGTACTAATTGTTGGTCCTTGCTTGTTTAACCTCTTAGTAAAGTTTGTCTTCTACATTACAGCAGTCCCAGGTAACAACAATGCTGACACAAGGCTTCCACCCCATCTTGTCTACTGACCTGGGGAATAAAGGCATCCTGCCTTGGGGCACTTTAGATCAAGTATGCAGAGATTTTTACTCTTCTGATACTGGGCAGGGCCTGCACACATAAACTCAAAAGAAAGGAGTTGCGGAAGATAGACCTCTGCCTTTCTGTAGCCCCCTTAAGATTAGGGAGGAGTATCTAATCTCTGAGGGGGTACTGAGGTAGGTGGTGGATCTTTACTCTGGACTGGATTGAAGACTGGCTGAAACAGGGAAGAGGTGAAAGCATCTCTCCATAAGGCACACCCACCTGTGCCATGTCAGTTTACCATTGCCATGGCAACACTCAGAGGCTACTGTCCCTTCCATGGCAATGACCTGAAAGTTACCGCTATTTATCTAGAAATTTCTGAACAACCAGCACCTTAATTTGCATGTAATTAAAAGTGGGTATAAATATCACTGCAGAACTGCCCTGAACTGCCACTTTCCATGCACTGCCTATGGGGCAGCTCTGCTCTGCAGGGGCGGTCACAGAGCAGCAACACTGCCACCTCAGTAAAGCTGCTTTCTTCTACCATCAGCTTGCTCTTGAGTTCTTTCCTGAGCAAAGCCAAGAACCTTCCCGGGCTAAGCTCCAATTTGGGGGCTCACCTGCCTTGCATCAATTTCTTTTTTTTTTTTAAAGACAGAGTTTCGCTCTTGTCACCCAGGCTGGAGTGCAATGCTGCAATCTCGGCTCACTGCAACCTCCACCTCCTGAGTTCAAGTGATTCTCCTGACTCAGCCTCCTAAGTAGCTGGGATTACAGGTGCATGCCACCACGCCTGGCTACATCAATTTCACTTAAATATTTGATGACTTCCTCCATACAGGTTCTTTACAGGGAACTAAGAAGATGTATGTCATTAAAAATAGTATCACCTCTGTCCTCAAGAAGACTTACTTATCTTTCATGAGGAAAAAATATGTAAATAAATAATGACTGCCATGAAAAACAAAGTAATGTCACAGTATTGGAGGAGGATTGGTTCCAGGACCCCTGAGGATATCAAAATCTACAGATGTTCAAGTCCCTAGTATAAAATGCTGTCATAATTGTGTGTACCCCACGTTCAGCCTCTGTATACTTTAAATTATCTATAGGTTACTTACAATACCTAATACAATATAGATGTTATGTAAATAGTAGTTGTATTGTTTTTTATTTGTATTACTTTATTTTTGTATTATTATTTTTCATTTGTTTGATATTTTTAGTCTGCAGTTGGTTGAATTCCTGGATGAGGAACCCATGGATACACAAGTCCCTAAAAGGGAGATAGTACTTTCCCATGGAGTTAATTACTGTAAAAAAGGAAATATTTGAACTGAAACAATGCAACAATGGCTATCAATTCAACATTTATTCAACAAACTTTTATCAAGCTTCTACTCCCTTAAAGTAAAAATATGGTATGCTAGTCATATGGAAGTGAATGACATTATTCTTGACCTCAGGAAGTGTAAGATCAATGGTAAAGACAAAAAATAGCAAACTGAAGTATGCTACATGCTCTGACAGAGCTATGCATAGGAGTCCCTGGGAATACACGGAGGCAGCCAAAGCAATATAAGTAGAGGGATGACCAGGAAAGGCAAAGACTTAAATGTACAGAGCTAGAGGGAAAGTTTGGGAATAGAAAATGACTAAAACATTAGAAAAATAAAATTATTGTATATCCAATAAAAATGAAAAGCAATAGCATTCTTTTTATTAATTCTGGAGATTTTGTTGATATTTGTATTTGTTTTCATTTGGAACTGGAAAATGGTTTTTAAAAAGCAAAAGACATGCAAAAAAGTTTCAAATGGAACTAAGTTGAGATATCCTACACTGTATTATTTTATGCCTCAGCCACACCTTCCTTTAAAATTTTGATCATAGATGTGCTGGGAGGCAGTGCACTTCTGCAGCTCTTCTGGGCAAAAGACATTGACATCTTTGTTTAAAGATGTTTGCCAAACTGCTCCAGAGCAGAGACTAGGTTGGCTTACATTCAAGGTAAGAAAGCCAGTCTCTCTCCCTGGAGATGTTTCAGGCTACTAAAGATAATGTCTCTTTCTGGAAGGGAAGAGGGGCAGATTTGCCATCAGCCCCTAGACAAGATCAGGATCTCTTAATCTTAATTTCAACCATGACACAGATCTACTACATGTGCAATATTCACCTAGGCCGACCTCTGTGTTACCCCCATGGGATTTTGGACCAAAGAGAAGTAAGAGAAATATGAAGTTTATGCTGCCTGCTCTTCAGTGAGTAATAAATGATCCAAACCCATTTGGGCTTGCTGACTTCCTATCAGACAAATATGAAGAAGTGTGACCAACAGAAGAGGCACTGCTGCTTGGGAACCACTTCACTACTTGACAGATTAAAAAGCCATCATATGCTTACCAGACCTTCGTAAATAAGTTTGGACTAATCTCCTTTTTCCACTCTTTTGTCCTGACAATTTATTCTCCACACAGCATCCAGAGTAGACCTTAAATTCCCATGATGAATCTCTCCTACTTAGAAACAAACCTTCAGTGGCTTCTGAATGCTCTACAATAAAATCCAACTTTCTTATCATGATCTACAATGTGTATGATCTGTCTCCTGCTTTCCCCTCAGATCTTATAAGACAATTCCTAATTCAGAAAACTTTAAGTCTCAACTATCTTTCTTTTGGTTCCTCAAACTAGCTTAATGCTTTTCGGTCTTCCCTCAAATTCTATGTAGTCTGCTTTTTATTCTTTTGGCATCTGGTCAAATGGTATCTTCTTGTAAAAGCTTTCAGTTCTCACTCTGTGTAAAGCACTTGTTCTACAAGATACTTTCTATAGCATCACCCAGATAATTTATTTAAGCTTCTTTATTTATTGTTTGACTCAGTTACTATCTCTCTACTCTCTCCTGGATATAAGCTCCTTGAGTTGAACTATCTTGACTATTTTATTCATCACTCTTTCTTTGGGCCTGGCACATATTAAGTATTCAATGGAAGTTGGCTTTTATCATTGCTATTTTAAGACAAATTATTTATTTATTGGCCAGAATGTTCTGGTTCCTTTAATTGTATTCTCTTTTCAATCTTCACAACAAACTTATGAGATAGAAGTATTCTGATCTGTGTATCCATACGGTTATATGGATTCATGTGTCCATATCCATATACAACTATACCTATATCCACCGATATCCATGTATAATTTTTTTGTTATGGGAGCTGAATTCTTTCCAGGCTTATGTTAACTTATAAGTAAAGATGATATGAAGCCAGGATTAAAACCAAAAGAGTCTGTGGCCAAGGCCCATCAGTCTATTTTCAGTTGTCTCCTGAAAAATTCTATATTAGTTATTCCTATATCAATTCCTGGTAAGAAATTAAAACCAATATTTTACTGATAGAATTTTGGTAGCTAACTGTTAATACTAGGAAAAATTATGTTTTATATATATGTAATATGTGTGTGTATATATATATACACACGTATATATACGTATGTGCGAAATACTACTAAAAAATTCCAACCCTTTAAGTAATTCATAGTATTTATTATAGAAATAAAGTTGAAATCAAGAGAAATAAAAAATGTTCAGTAATTTTCTCTTGTATGCATATCCTTTTATTAGATTTCCACTCAAGGGATTATTAGAGAGACATGAAATTTTTATTAAAATTGGAAACGTGTTCAATAATATTTTTTGAGAGGGAAAATTTGCATCATGAGTGATTTATACAATTATCAACAATTATCACATACATTAATATCCTATAATAGGGATTATTAATATATTTAAAGAATTAGGTAATGATTATTGTTTTCATGGAGAATTTGGGACAATTAAATGTGAATAATAACAATGATGTTTAGCTATAAAATGCTCTTGGATGTTCTTATAGTACTTTCATCAACTTGTCAGTATCTTGAATAATCGTCTATGACAGTTTCCTCACAAATCTGTGAGTTACAAAAAATACACTTTCAACAGAAATGTATCTGATGAATATGTATTGAACCCAAACTCATTTTCCAAAGTTCATGCTAGCTGTTTATTTCATAAACAAAAGGTCAAAAGAAAATTATGTTTAGAATATGAGCAAGAAAAATCCCAAAGAAGATAACAAAATTTGAATGCCCATTAATTTAGCTACAGTCTAAACAAATATCTATGTTCATTTGAATAAATAAAGAATATTTTAGGGGTCAAAGAACAAATATGTATGGCATGGCTTTTGAAATGTCTACCAGCATTCATCCTAATCTAAAGAAAATTATTACCAACAACCCTTGGGCTTCCCCACATATTCTATTTAGTGGGTATTACCCAGCTTCTCTGAACCTCAGTGACACACACATATACTATTGGGCTAATCTCAATCAAGATGAGTTGGACTTATAACTGAAATGACGTAATGTTTCAAACAGGCTTTGTGAAATACAGCATTTCATGCAAATGTAAGGTGTTATAATCAACCTGGTTTCACCAAACTTTATCCATTCCATTTATTGTGCAACTGGAATTACAAGCAAAATATATTAAATGATTGCTCTAGACTTTAATTTTGACTCTGTTACTTGGGAAATTATGCCTCATTTTGTCACCAGTGATTAGGGTGCTGAAGACTGTATTTGAACCAAAGAGCCTCACATTGGGGTCAAATGAGTGAGTGTCTATGAAGTTCTGGGAGCAGCAACATTTCAAACAAAAAAATCTGGATGTAACTTCATTCTGGTTCTATTAACTTATCTAAGTTGAAATAAATCATTAAAGAAAAAGTCAAGCCAAGGGGAAAAGAGGCAAATAGAGCTTGGTCTGCAGAAAAACCTACAAAAAACAGAGCTGATTAAGACCACACATGGTGTTCTTGCTGGCTGTTCTGGGAGGAAGTTCTGAAATGTAAACGTTGCCATTACCAACCCCTGTGGCTGGCAGATCCTTTAAAGGGAAATGACCAATCACGATACCTTAGTTTGATAAAATTATCCATTAAAATATGAAAATAAAGCCCTAGTTTCAAGTCAGTTCTTATCAGGTGAAAAGCAATGTGAAAATAATGTTATGTCCCATACAAAAATTGTGATGCTTCACTTAACAGTTATATTTCTTATTGTAATAAATAATACATCAAATAAACATACAGAGAGAGAGACATACACATAGACACCTCTGAATTTTGTAACTATGAGTCAACCTCTAAGCCTACCCACTTGGCAAATGTCTTTTGAAGTCTGTCCAAACTGAAGACAAGTCCTGTACTTAGTGACAAACAAGGCTTCCCTGAGTGACATACTAAATTATATATGAAGAATGTAGGCAGAATAACATAACACAGCTACACATAATAATATAGAGAAGAGTAGTGATCTTTACCCCAATTTTAGGTGAAGATCTTTCCAGGAACATAACTATGTTTCAAACTTTGACCTTGAGCATTTTGATATGACTGTACTAAGTATAATAAGTTAATACAGTAAATGAATTACACACCTACATGGACTGGTACTGACCTAAAATGCTAGAAATAAAATGGTAAATAGAACTTTGGAACAGTAACTGTACTCAACCCTGAAATTGGTATTCAACTATTGAATGCTATCCTGTGTAGACTACCAAACTTACTTCACAACCGATAAGAAGATGTCAGGGACTTTTGAACAATTCTAAATGCATGTATAAGCTAAATGTTCAGCAACAACTTAAATAGTAGAGTAATGAGAAGTAATCTGTTATTGTTGGGGAGAAGTAGATTACAGAATTGTTAAATGCTTATTTACCATGAGGAATGTTGAATTTGCTCAATTTAGTCCTTGCTTAGAGCTACCCACACATCACAAAGGCATTTCTTCCTCAACAACTCAAGGCTAGTTAACTGCAGTAAGTACTTAGGATGCAATGATCCCCACTATTGCTTTTATTGGACCCATTTATATACCATTACTGCAGTGAATAATTGTTCTTTACTTCCTTTTAATTCAATTAAGAAATGTTTGCCCAGCTGTTCAAATATTTTATAAGCTGTAACTAGAATGTGGGCTCATAAATTACTTACCTTCTTTTTCAAACTAAACTAGTGATTATTTCAATAGGCTAATTCAAATATTCTGATGTGCCTAAACTACCGCCATCTCACAGATGGGAGCAGATAAAATAATGCCTAAGAAATGGCCCCTGAGCTTTGCCACAGCCTTTGAGTTCTCCCCAACTTTATATTAAAAATTTTTTCAATATTTTATATTGAAAAAAATGTGATGGGACTTCTGTCTTCTTGCAGAGATGGGCAAGATAATGATATGGGGCAGTTCTATACCTATATCTAGAGAATAATCTGGAATCACTGAGTGAGTGTGGCAGAGAATGCAGCATGCATTCTTGCATAGATACTTAATTGCATATGAAAACTACAGATCTGAGATTCAACCAGTGTGTGAAATCACAGATAAATTTAATATTTACCTGGAAAGCCCTACAACTTTTGATTAAAGATAGTCAATGATATTTTACCAGGTTCCTCTCCCTAAGCACTTGTGGAAGTCACTGAGAAAATTGAATATGTTCCAAAATGCATTCTGGCTGTCATTTGCCAGCTGAGCCAGTCTCCTGTCTGCAGTCACTTGATCTGCTCTGCTGCAGAATCTCTCAAATCTCCTGTCACCCAGGACCTGCTTTGTCAAGCTATAGCTGCCTTTCCTATATCACTTTTCCACAATTCTCATGTAATATTGCTGATTACTGCCTGCAATCCTATTATATATTTTTCTAGTTTTCCACTCTTGAATACATGACTTTCCACATCCTCTTTCTTTACCATTAACTGATAATCTTGTCTCACATTTCACTGATGGGAACACTCTCATTTCTCTCATGAATCTATAAACATCTTCATCTATACCCATCTTCTTCCTTCTTATTACAACAGAGTACATGTTATTCTATTCAAAGACCAATTGCTCCATATGTGTTCAGAATCTCATTTCTTTTTAACTGTAAATAACTTCCTTTTTTCTCTCAATCTGACTGCTACTTTTCTGAAAGTAGTCTCTCTCTTTTTTAGTACGACTGCTTTTAGGATTTTCTATTTGTCTTTTTCCCTACAGTTTAGTTGTGATGTGTCTAGGTATAGAATTTCTTATCAATCTGGATTAGCATTTTTGTTTCTGTTTTTTTCAGCTGCTTGAATTAGTGAATTATAGCTGTTCATCATTTCTAGAAAACTCTCAGCAACTATCACTTTGAATATTGCCCCATTCAAATCTATCTTCTCTCCTTTCAGGATCCTGATTGAATTTATATTATACTTTTTCATTATATCCTCTATTTCACTTCTCTGTTCCTCAGTATATGTACCGAATTTCAAAAAATACTTCTCATTTATTTTTATCCTTGTACATTTTTCAGCTCCTTCTTAATAATTCCATGTCACTTTATTTTACTGTTTCCAGCAGATATCTTCAAGACTGTCTGTTGCTTCTTTAAACATAGCACAATCGTTTCATAGTTTGAATCTGATCATTCTAATTTCTTCAGCATGTGAAGAGCTGTTTCTGCTGCTGCTGCTATTGTGCTTGCTGAGATCTAAGACATTTCTCATCTCTGAGATCTACCTACACTTGGGGCCATTTTTCTGGTTTTGTACTTTAAAAAATTTTAAAGAAATCATTTGAAGCCTACAATGTTGTAAATAAGATACTTCCCACATTTGCTTCTGGCATGTATGTGAGGTCATGATCAGTTTAGGACTACCTCCAACTAAGGCCACACATTTTCTAGGCCAGAGACTTTTTTTTTTTTAACCAGACTGTAATTTTGTGTTATCTGTTTTATACCTGGTTTGTTGTAATTTTTAAGGTACCATATTTATAAGAAGTTCTTCTCTTAAGTCTGCACAATCCATTATGATTGTCCTGAGTCACTTGTGATTTATTTAGATATGAGTTTAAGTGATCTACTTAATATTACAATACTTACTTTACATTATTAAGCCATATAAAACAGTTAATTTTAAAAAACTAAAGCCATAACTATTTTGTTTAATTCAAATAATATACAGTTCCATTAAAGAAGAGAATTCCATTGTAATACTTTAAAACTTGAACAATGAATATGCTAATACCCTAAATCCTACTGACAATGCACATCCTGGTAAATGTAGTTTATTTTTTAAAATCCATTTATAAAATCTAGATAGCCATCTGTCTGCATTTTTGGTTTTTTTAAGAATGGAAGATGATAGGCATATCACAAAAGCACTGTAACTGGAAATATTGCCTACTGTTCTGAAGCAAATACCTCCTGGGAGCTGCTGTGATCCTACTTTCAATTTTAAGTTTAAAAATCAGAGAGAAAAGTTTAGTATTGATACTAAAAAGTATTGTTCATTTAAACAATTCATATCCTTGATACAATTTAACAAGCAGTGAAAAGTAACAAGGTGTTTTATCAAGCTTTGAACTTTAGATGATGTCTTCTAAAACAGGCTCCTAGAGAGCGGATAGACAGGAGAAAGGGAAGGATGCAGTGTTTAGAAGGATGGGAACTAATCAGTGAATATGTCTGCTCCAAGAGGATGCACCAGGAATCATTGTTAAATCTGTCTATTCCCATTCGAGCCCTAATTCCAGTGTATTTCTTTAAATAAGGTGAAGATTTCAAAACAAGATTTGACCAGAACTAGGATAACTTTAAATTCATCCTTTTAACCATCTGGGCAGTAACACAAACACAGAAGAATGTCACAAGGTCTTGCTATTTATATTGTGGTTCATGGCTCATGGAACTTATTAGAAATGCATATTCTTGGGCTCTGCCCCAGATCTACTGATTCAGCATCTGATCTTTAACAAGAATTCCCAATTTAGTCATGCCCAAAATAAAGTTTTAGAAGCACTTGCCTAAGGGAATTAAATATTACCTAGTGAAGCTTGTAATATAGATATTATATTAATAAATATTATCTTAGTTTAAATAGCATAAAACATTTCCATTTGCTTAACCCTACTGGTCATTTCACTAACTGCTAAAAAGTATGAATAGAGAAATAAGATGTACAAATGCTTACAAAATGTATATCAAGGAAATTTTTATTGGTGGGTCCCTTAACCTCATAAAATAAAAAGATGTTCACAAGGCAGGCATGTGTACAAAAGTAAAGAGATAGGAGAAATAATAAATAACTATAAATACAGTCCTGTCTTGGAAAGTGTATTGTACTTTTTAAAAGTTATATAAGAATCATTTGAGCTACTAATTATGCTTCCTACTTTTTTAAAGTTATCTAAGAATCATTTGATCTGCTAATTCTGCTTCCTAGAAATTTTTCATAAGAAAAATATCCAAAATTAGACATCATAGCATTTTTTTATAATCTCAAACAATTAGAGACAAATAATCGAAGTAAAGAAGCTATAAATTGTAAGATGTCAGTAATATGGAACACAGAATTAGAAATGTAGAAACAGAAAATGTTCATCATACAATATCAAGAAAAATAATCAGACTACAAATCTTGTTATTATCCTATTGTATAAAATGTATTTATATGAATGAAGACTAGAAGGGCATTTAGAAAAAAATGCAATATCACTTGTTAGTGTCATGAAGTGGTAGTATTATTTTCCCATTTGTAATGATAAAATTTGCAAGATAGAGGACTAACTCCTGGAAAAGCAAAGACTTCTGAAAATTTGCTCTTGCATAAAAGCAATGATAACGCTGGCAAACACTGTCAAAATGAACATTTTCAGAATTCTGGAAATTAGCTAAAGTCATGCAACAATCTGAGGAGCATTTACTCTAGAAAAACAATTGAATCTTAGCATGAACCTTGAGCTTTATGGCATTTAATGTGTCTTTTATGTGCTCCTTTCCCCTGCTCTGCAGTAGCCTTGGAAACCAAAAGTCTCATAACTACAGCAGTGAAAACTAGCAGCCTAGCAAGCCCTTGCAGAGGCCAACTGGTCTGGAGTATCCCCAAGCCCCGCCCTCAAAAACCTGTCACTATTTGACCTATATGGCAGCTTGCCAAGAAGCTCCATCCTCAGGGGCTTCTTTTCATTTGACCTGAATCAGAGATCCCTCTACATGAACAGCACTCTTTTCAGGACATTAGTACAAAACACCAAGTGATAATTATTTGGAAAAGCAGGAATTGAACGTCCATAGAGGGCTATGAAAAGCTCAGATGTTGCTGGAAATTTAGAAGTCCACGCATGTACTCAGTGCTGTGCCTATGACCAAGGAAGACAGAAGACAGCCCAAATCTCTTGCCTCTGGTTGACTTTGAGGTTCTGTGCAAGTTGGAAGTGAAGACTGAGAAGGAGTTGTAAATTGCCTTCAGGAGCATTGAAAACGTACTGTTACTGGAAAGGGTTCCCCATCCAGACCCCAAGAGAGGGTTCTTGGATCTTGCGCAAAAAAGTATTCAGGGTAATTCCATAAAGTGAAAGCAAGTTTATTAAGAAAGTAAAGGAATAAAAGAATGGCTACTCCATAGGCAGAGCAGCAGCCTAAGCTGCTGCTTATTTCTTGATTATATGCTAAACAAGGGGTGAATTATTCATCAGTTTCCTGGTGGGCAATTCCCAGAACTGGCAGCTCCTCCCCACTTTAGACTATATAGGGTAACTTCCTAACATTGCCATGGCATCTGTAAACTATCATGGCACTAGTGGGAGTGTCTTTTAGCATGCTAATGCATTATAACTAGTGTATAATGAGCAGTAAGGATGACCAGAGCTCCCTCTCATCACCATCTTGGTATTGGTGGCTTTTAGCCGGCTTCTTTACTGCAACCTGTTTTATCAGCATGGTCTTTATGACCTGTATGTTGTGCCAACCTCCTATTTCATCCTGTGACTAAGAATGACTAACCTACTGGGAATGCAGCCCATCAGGTCTCAGCCTTATTTTACCCAGCTCCTATTCAAGATTGAGTTGCTCTGGTTAAAACGCCTCTGACAATACCCCAACAAACAAACAAACACACACACACACACAAATACACACACACACACACACACACACACACACACACAGCCAGCCCTTGGCAAGAGCTGAGAGATTTATTTATTCAAAGCATTCCGGGGAATCTCTGTTCAACCATTACCTGACCACAAAGCTTAACAGAGCAGAGACTTCAGTGGCTACACATAATAAAGAATACAGACTTTAAAGAATTAGTTCCAGAAATCCACCACAACAAGAAACAGCAAAAATAATAAACCTGAAGAAATATCTAAATTATACAGTTGGTGCATTATATTATTTAACTTTCTAGTTTTTAACAAAATAATTAGGAGACATGCAGAGAATCAGGAAAGTATGGCCTACACACCGGGAAAAAGCAGCCGATAGATACTGTCTCTGAGGAAGCCCTAGACATTGGACTTTCTAGATAACCTTAAACCGTTTTTTATAAATATGCTCAAACCATTTTATGTAAATATGAGGACAACTCATATAAATGCATTTTAATATTCTTTCAATTAGAGAAGAGCACAACTTATTAACAAACAAAGCACTGACATTTTAGGAGATTTTTTTAACTTAATAATATTTAATAGCTAGACATGTTAAATGAAGAAGAATATTAGAAAACAATATTCTTATTTCAGGTAATTACATGAAACTGGATGAGAGACTTGAGGCCAGGAGATTGAGGCTGCAGACCCCATCTTTTAAGAAAACAAATATCTTCCTGGTGTTGCTATAAATACATCTCTGTAACAGGTAGAGTTCACCTGTAAGTGCTACTTTGTATTTTGAAAAAGAGACTAGGGAAAACCAGGTAAGTAACAATGCTAGAGAATGATTAACTTCTAGACTAAAAAAATTATGTAGGTAAGGACATTGCTATTCACTACTGGATCCTGAATACTTTGCCCAGAAACTGTCTGGAATATGTGACAATATTTGTTATAAATGAGTACACATGCATTTAATGAATGAATGATATATCACATTATCATAATCAGGTATTCTATAAAAAACCTGAGATCAAATTGGATTTATTCAGCAACAACAAACTATGAACATTAAAACATAGATTGGGACGTCATGTAAAGCAGGCCACTCATTACGGGTAGTGACCAAACAGAATACGGATGGCCATTTGTCCAGTGTTGCTTTAGGAAGGATTCAGGTTATGAGGAAGATTCATAACTTCTTTTCCAAGATGACGAAAGAACCTTGGACTCACCAAGTCAAACCTCAAATAACAGAAAGTTATTTTCCCTAATTTACAAGGCCTTGCTCATTATTATGCAAATAAGAAGGCACACTTTACCCAGATATTAATACGGGATATTTCCAAGCCTACTACAAGAATGTTTGAAAAAAGTTAGAAATATAATGGGAGTATATAATCAATGGGAATGTTATTAGGAAATAAGAAAATAAATTTGTGTACTTTTTCTTTAAATTATCTATGGATGGATCCACAATAAGGGCTAAAATTTTAAAAAGAGCGACAATATTAAATGTTGATGAGGTCGTAGAACAATACAAACACTCACATATTGTTAGTGGGAGAGTTAAATGGCACAACTTCTTTGAAAAATGATCTGGCTTTTTTGTATAAAATTAATTTATATATGCCTTATACCCCAGGAATGAAAACATATATTTATAAAAAGAGGTTTTTTTTCTTTACATATGGGGTCTCAGTCTATTGTCTAGATCGGAGTGCCGTGGTGTGATCATACCTCACTGCAGCCTGGAACTCCAGACTTCAAGCGATCTTCCCATCCTAACCTCCCAAGTAGCTGGAATTTCTAGTGTCAGTCCTACAAAAAGCCTTGTACAGGAATGTTCATGGCATTTTTATTCATCATAGAAAAAAACTGGACACAGCCCAAGTGTCCATTATTAGAATGAATAAACAAATTGTGCTGTATCCACAATGGAATGTTACACAGCAATAAATGATTAATGTACAACAAGAATGAATCTCAAAAATATTATGCTCAGTTTTTTTTTTAAAAGCCTCACACAAAAGCCACAAACAATTCCATGTGTATAAAGAATACATGAATGATTCCATTTATGTGAAGTTCTAGAACAGGTAAAACTAAGTTATAGCAGAAAAAAAATCACAATGTTCTTTAACTCACAAAGGATGGGGAGGAAATTGATTAGAAAGAGGCATCAGAGAACTTTCTAGGGTGACGTTACTCTTAAGATTGAATATTTCGTTGTACGTAAATTATGTTACAGAAGACATTGACTAGTCTACTTTTGCTGTGCACCAGTATATCCTTGGAGCTGGGCATTCTGGGTGGTAACTTGTAGCATGGAACTAGTAGTCATATGAAGGAAAGAATGAATAAATGAATTTAGAACAGTCGATACAAACTTTATATCTCAGTTTTGACACCCAGTAACTGATGGCTTTAGATAGCTATCTTCCTTTCTTGAAGTATATCAGTTTTATAAAACAATGTGTATACAGAAACATGGAGATAGAATTGATTTCACATAGCTTTTAGCTGTTGAAGGCAAGATGGCATTTAATTAGATATTTCCTCTTGTGTATTTGAAGTTTTGTTAAAGTATATTTCATACAGTGAATAGTTACAAAAATGGAGATTTTAATTTTGGAAAGGTATAACATTTCAGTTTAATTTGCCTTTCTCCTCCCTCATCCTGAAAAACGGAACAACCATCATCATCAGCTTTGTAATTGCAGCCTCACAACGTGTGATGACTCAACACTTCTTCTCTTCACTTAGAATCTCATCTCACTTCCAACCATCCTCCTTTTAAGAACGCAACCAATCCAAAGATGCATCCTGCTTCTGACATCTTGCCCTGAGAACTCCAGAGCCAATGCATAAGCAAAACAATTTGCTCTCACTTTCCCTAATAAGCTGCTGTTTAGAAATTGTCAGTGCAGTGTTCTTCTTTGAGGCATTCCTTGTGGCACACACTGTTATCAGAAAAGAGGTCCCAGTCCGGACCACAAGAGAGAGTTCTTGGATTTCACACAAGAAAGAATTTGAGGCGAATCTGTTAGAAGTATTCAAACCAGCGCAACTCCATCTTGAATAGGGGATGGGTAAGATAAGGCTGAGACCTACTGGGCTGCATTCCCAGGAAGTTAGGCATTCTAAGTCACAGGATGAGTGAGATAGGAGGTCAGCACAAGGTATGGGTTACAAAGACCTTGCTGATAAAAGGATTGGTAAAGAAGTCCAAAACTCACCAAAACCAAGATGGTGACAAAAGTGACTTCATCCTCACTCCTCATTATATGCTCATTATAATGGATTAGCCTGCTAAAAGACACTCCCATCAGCACCATGACAGTTTACAAATGCTATGGCAACTTCAGGAAGTTATCGTATATGATCTAAAAAGGGGAGGAACCCTCAGTTCCAGGAATTGCCCACCCTTTTCCTGGAAAACTCATGAATAATCCACCCCTTGTTTACCATATAATTAAGAAATAACCATAAAAAAAGCCAAAGAGCAGCCCATGTTGCTGCTCTGCCTATGGAGTAGCAATTATTTTATTCCTTTACTTTCTTAATAATCTTGTTTTCACTTTACTGTATGGATTCGCCCCAAATTCTTTCTTGTAAGAAGTCCAAGAACCCTCTCTTTGGGTCTAGATTGGGACTCCTTTCCAGTAACAAAAGTGAAAGCAAGTTTATTAGGAAAGTAAAAGAATAAAGAATAGCTACTCCATATGCAGAGCAGCAGACTGAGCTGCTGGTTGATCATCTTTATGGTTATTTCTTGATTATATGAAACAAGGTGTGGATAATTCCTGAGTTTTCTAGGAAAGGGGTGGGCAATTCCTGGGGAACTGAAAGTTCCTCCCTTTTTTAGACCATACAGGGTAACTTCCATGAAGTTGCCATGGCATTTGTAAACTGTCGTGGCACTGGTGGAAGTGTCTTTTAGCATGCCAATGCATTATAATTAACGTATAATGAACAGTGAGGACAACCAGAAGTCACTTTTGTCACCATCTTGGTGGGTTTTGGCTGGCTTCTTTACCGCTAACTGTTTATCAGCAAGGTCTTTGTGACGTGCACCTTGTGCCCACCTCCTACCTCATCTTGTGACTAAGAACACCTTAACCTTCTGGGAATGCAGCCCGGTAAGTCTCAGCCTTACTTTACCCAACCGCTATTCAAGACGGAGTCAGTCTGGTTCAAATGCCTCTGACAGCACTGTTATTAAAACTCAGTTTGTTTATATAGTAACATATTATTTTACTGTAAAGGGCTTTCCACACATTTTATTGTGATGAAACTGGAAGAAGCTTTCCTTAAGTAAAGGAAACATTAGAAGAAACTCATCACGGGGCCGGGCGCGGTGGCTCACGCCTGGAATCCCAGCACTTTGGAAGGCGGAGGCGGGCGGATCACGAGGTCAGGAGATCGAGACCATCTTGGCTAACACGGTGACACCCCCTCTCTACTAAAAATACAATTAGCCGGGCGTGGTGGTGGGCGCCTGTAGTCCCAGCTACTCGGGAGGCTGAGGCAGGAGAATGGCGTGAACCCGGGAGGCGGAGCTTGCAGTGAGCCGAGATTGCGCCACTGCACTTCAGCCTGGGCGACAGAGTGAGATTCTGTCTCAAAATAAATAAACAAACAAACAAATAAGAAGAAACTCATCACGTAAGTAAATGATCCTTCCAAAATGTACATCATTTTGGAGTAGAGCCTAGCAGGGGATTCTCTTTTAGTAAAATAACATCTAAATTATGTTAGAAGTGAAATAGGAATCTCATAGTTCATGTAGGCCAACTGAGGCCTTCATCTGGAAAATAATTCTATAAGTCTGAGATATTTCTACATTTTAAGTACTTGAACAAAAAAAGTAATGGTAACCTGAAGGTGTGTGAAACCCAGAGTCATTTGTCTGTCTTTCCAGGTACCTCAATATTATCCATCTTACTTCCCAGTGACAGAAACTTAGCTCGCTGCAACTTAGAAGGAGAATTTTTTGAATCACAGAAGGGAATCTAGGACTCATTTATTTTAGTGGGAGGGTTAAATGGTACTTAGAAAATCCTTGTGGTTTGAAAGTGAGAGACTGTAAAGGTGAGACTCGCACCTGTGCGACCCTGACAAGTTTAGAACAGTGCTTCTCAGTTTAACGTGCATATGATCTACCTGGAGATCTTGTTAAAGTGCAGATTGTCATCCACAAGGTCTTGAATGTCACCTGAGATTTTGTATTTCAAACAAGCTCCCAAATAATGCTCATAATTTTGGTCCTTCGTCCACAATTCTCCTAGCAAAGGCCCCATGGAATATCTGCAATACCCTGAAGACCATGATGTTCAGCAGCAACAAGGAAGTGCCACAAGAAAGCATAACCATTGATCATTGACAAAATGACTTGGCTCTATCTGGATTTATGTAAGAAATCCTTTTGTAAGGATCTTTGCAAATTTTCCTTGGTAAGACCAAGATTTCTAGTACTAGCAAGTATGAAGGAGGCATGTTTAAGGTTTTTTTTCCCCATATGTATATGAAAATGTCAATTGTTTTTATCCTTTAGTGCTCAAAGTAGTTTTTACGTAAAAATATGATCCTAGTTAGAAATTTAAATTTGGTGAAGGAACAAAAGTGTTCCTGTATATTAAGTCAAGACTTCGCGAATCTTTTCAATTTAGCTTTGTCAGTCTTTTCCTGTGTGCTCCCCTAATCTCCATAGAGGCTTGAGGCTAAAGTTGTGACTAACGAAGTACTTAACAGAATGATTAAGCAGTGAAAGTCATCTGGTTTCCCTAAAGCAGAATGTAAATTCATTCCTAGTGGAAATCATGGCTTTCAATCTCAAAATACCTTGTGAATTCATAAATCAACATCTCTGGCACGTCAATATTTGAACCAATTTAGGGAGTATTTCTCATGATGACCAACCTACAACTAAGAAATAAGTTATTTTTCTTAATAACTAAGAAATATAGTTATTTAATTTTTAATGTTTAACATGGCATTTTTAATGTTTAAAACTTAAGTTTTTGTTTTCATGTTTCTGATATATTTTATAAAAAGCTCTTTAAAAATTAGTGCATCCATTTAACTATAATTTTCAATGGGGGTTCTTCAGAAAGTATGATTGAAATCAAACCTAAGTATAATAAGGAAAAATACACCCAACAGTTCAGTTCACCCTAGACCCAAAGCTAAAGCATACGTTATTCCTGAACAAAACAAGAGTTACCTTTTTAATGCAACTTCCATTTCCCTATGCTGGAGCAGAGGATTCTCATTATCATTGACTTTATCAGCTTTTCTTGAGTCACAGATGACAAACTTTCCCCTAAAATTTGCATTTCACACCCAGCATCCCTGTAGAACTCTTACACTGGTCAGCATTTGCTTTATTTCAGGAAAAAAATATGCTAGAAACCATGTAAAAAATGAACTCATTCTTCGAAATAGTATTTTTTTATTTTTATTTATTTATTTATTTATTTTTTTTTCTGAGACAGGGTCTCACTGTGTCACCCAGGCTAGAGTGCAGTGGTGTGATCAAGACTCATTGCAGCCTCAACCTCTAGGGCTCAAGCTATCCTCACACCTCAGCCTTTGGAGTAGCTGGGAACATAGGCATGTACCATCATACCTGGCTAGTTTTTAAATTTTTTACAGAGATGGGGGTCTCATTATGTTGCCCAGGCTGGTCTCAATTCCTAGGCTCAAGCGGTCCTCCTGCCTTGGCCTCCCAAAGTGCTGGGATTACAAGCATGAGCCACTGTAATTTTGTAACTCAGTCTAAGTAATTTTTTAAATTACTATGTGTTTTTCAGATAACAGTTCTGGATGATGTACAGTGAGACTAAACATTTGATTTTGTGATTTTAAATAATTCTCTCTATAGAGCTGGGTATCTCAAATCTTGCCATTTTACCATGACAATGTGATTGTTTTTGTAACTACACTTTGAAAGCATATCTGATAATGTTTACATAATATGTCATTATATGGGTGTTTTGTATTTAGATTGGACAGTTATAATATTTTTTCTATTTTTTTGCTTCCTAGCAATAAATTTTTTCTTCTTGATCCTATGGTTTCTTCAAAGAGACATTTATATGTTTTGTTTTTCTTTACTCTTCTACTCTATTACCAGTTCAGTTCTTAACAACATTATTTTACTTGCTCAAGCACTGAAATTTTCTGTTTTTAGCACTTTGTTTTAGAGTTATTAATTGTGTCTTTTAAAGCAATCTAAAGATTTCATTCTTATTCTATTCACGTATTTTAAAAGGTTAGTTAACTTTATTTTCATGCCCTTTTTTGTTTCAAGGACAGACTATATGTGATGTATTTCAAAAGATGTATGGAACTTTGCATTTTTATTCTAATTACCCTTTTTAATGATGCTTAATGTTGTCACACACAGTGAGACCATAAAACACTATACACTGAGGATGCTGCTGTTAATGACTGCTTCAAAGAGCGTAGTTTAGGGAATGTGCAGTATTGCAGATAGCAATTATTTTTTTTCTATCTCTGAGGGATTTTCAATGCAGCAGTACTCAGTGGAACTGCATCTATGATTTTGCTGAGTTTACCTCAAAGACATTTTCTGTTTTATTCATTTTTTATTTGCCAGGCAGCCTTCAAGCAAAAAATTTACATGAGAAAACCATAGTGTACTGACTTTTAATTAAAACTTCACACTCAAAATGCATTGGGATTTAATTTAAATATTTAATTGACACAATTTTTAAATAAAAAAAGAATATGAGACTAAGTTATGGCATGGCTAAGAGACACTCGATTTAAACATGACAAGTACACTGATGGTTCACTAATGGGTTTTCCTGACCTGCAGACCACTCAGTTTTTCTTGTAAATGAATAGAATTAATAGAACGAATACCTTCTTATGTATTTTGTAGTACCTAAGACTAAAGTCAACCAATATTGAAATCATTATCCCTTCATTCTCCTGTATTTTCACCTATTTGCCCAAACTTGAAGTTTTGCTTTCTCCTACTTCCTCTCTCTCCTTGTTTAAGAATAATCTAGTATCTTTCATAAAGATGGCTTAGCATAAAGCTCTGCTTACACAGGTGCAACACTAATTTGCTGAGTTAATCAGAATTTCTTTTTCCACAGCTTAACCAAGGAATTTAGAAGAACAGAAAAAGTAGTGGAGTCAAATAAATTCCAGAACACGAATAGTAGACATTGTAGAATCAGAAATAGTAGAGATTAATACCTTTCCTCTCCATCATGAGGGGCATGGCCAACATTCATAACAAAATGAGAGCAGCAGGAGGTAGACAAATGCCTAAGTAGACAGAGGAAGGTCCCGAGTGAAACCCCACCTTCAATCCAAAATCAGCCCGAGACCTGCAACCTAGAGTGAGATCTTCTATTCCTGTTTGCCTGCTCTTTCCCAATTGGTTCTTTCTGAATAATGCTTTTAAACTAACCAAAAGTTACCTATTCCAATGCTACCTTCGTCCCACCCCTCCCCATCCTGTGCTTGTAAAAACCCTAGACTCATCCACACCGGGGGAGAAACCACCTGACTTCGGGTGGGGAAGCTCTCCTGTGACCCCTCTCCACTGAGAGCTGTTTTGTCACTCAATAAAATTCTTCTCCACCCTCCTCACCCTTCAATTGTCAGCATATCCTCATTTTTCTAGGACACAGGACAAGAACTCAGGAATCACCAGACCCATAATATGAGCTATAACACAGATGGGCTGGGGCACACCTGGCCCAGCTGCGGGCTGAGCCAGTGTGCAAGCCAGGCACAGCCTGGGTGGGCTGAGTGGGTGGGCCACCTCCTGCAGCAAGTAGCATGGCCAAGCAAGGCCCAGGCGGGGGCGTCGCCGGCCGGCGGTTCCCAGCTGGTGAAGTGACTGAGAAAAATCCTGCATCAAAAAGACAGGTTAACAAGAAAAAAGCACACCAGTTTATTCAAAATTTTATGTGACACTAAAGCCTTCAGAAATGAAGACTCAAAGACTCAGGGAAAAGTGTCTATTTTTATGCTTGGGTTTGGTGAGGCATGAACAGCTGTGTAGCAATGTGATTGGACAAAAGGGGAAGACCTAAAGATAATAGACCGAGTAGGGAAACTCAGCAAAGCTGTACGGATTCCTCTTGGGCTGTCTGTGGTATCATTTCTTCCTTCTTGATATGGGGCAGGACCCATCTGGATTGAGGGTCTTATGACCTACTATTAAAGAGAGGTAGGTCAGAGAATTTCTTTATAGTCAGCTCCTAGAGAAAAAGGTGGAGGAAGGTTAGAGCAATATTTCTAGATTTTATGGCTTGCTATGGGGCAAAGGGATTCTAGTTTCTATGACCACTTTGGGGAAGAGGAATTCTGGTTTTCAAGATTCACTTCAGGAGAGAATGAGGGGTGTGAGATAGGAGGGCAGGAGAAGGTCAGTGAGACCTTGGTTCTGAGACTGCTACTTAAGCCTTCCAATGTTCTTTAAAGTACTCAGCATACAAAAGCACCATACTTTGAGATATCATTTTTCTGAACCCCAAGAAGATCAATGAACATTTTCTGTAGAGGGGGAATAAGATCACATGAGAACCACAGTTGCACTGAATTCAGAATGGTGTTGCAGTACCTTATGAAGTATGGTTTTAGCAATTCTTGTCTCTTCACTGAAAGTTGCGTGTGCAGCTTTTCTGGGACTCAATGAGACCTGGCTGCATAATATAATTCCTGTTTTCTTATGCAGTTTTCTTATGTAGTTTAGGAAACCTGAGCAAGTCTCTCCAGGTAACAATCAAAAGAGCCCATCCGATGCACAGTTAATTCTAAACCATAAATATTAAAGGTATATTACGTAGGTAGCGGTATCAAAAGGACATTGAGTGCTGGCTCTGACACTTACCTGCTGCATGACCCTAGACAGATTACTTAACCTCTCTGTATTTCAGTTTTCTTAAGTATAAAATGATGCTAATGAGGAAGAAAATCTAATAAACCAATTAAAAATCAGGCAAAGATTTAAATAGACATTTCTCAAAAGAAGACATACAAAATGGCAAACAGACATATGAAAAGGTACTCAACATCTTTTTCCACAGCTTAACCAAGGAATTTAGAAGAACAGAAAAAGTAGTGGAGTCAAATAAATTTTTTGAGGAGATGGATATTCCATTTTCTGTGATGTGCTTATTTCACATTGCATGCCAGTATCAAAACATCTAATGTATCCTATAAATATATACACCTACTATGTACCCACAAAAATTAAAAATTATAAAATAAAATGATGATAATGATGGAGTTTACTTCATGGAAGTTTTCTGTTTATATGATTGGCTTTTTTTTCTCTCTAACAGATGTTTTTGTTTTTCCTTTGATTTGAAAGAGTATTAAAATATACTACGAATAGTAATTTGTATAGGCATTACACATATTTGGGGAAATATATTTTATACACTAGCATCTTGATACTCCTGGCCTTGTCTATAGATAAGAATTATTCTGATCAATCCACAAACTGCTACAACATTAATCAAAGAGATTGTTGTGTACCATTGTAATGAAATTAAATGGAGAAAAACTGTTTCCATTCACTTTCTAATTTCTATGATTTATTTTTTCTAATAAATTTCAAAGTAAAATGGTGCTTGCAGGAAGACCACACCCAAAAAAACCTACAATATAAATAGAGATATTTCGTGCCATTTTTCCAAAAGCTACTTATATATTTTTTCTTCTATATTAAAGGAAAAATGCAGCAACATTTTCCACTTTCACTTAAAAATGAACTGTAATTATTTTGATCATGTCATTAATGAGCTTGAAATTGATTGGTAAAAATAAATATCATGTTCTAGTCACTGGTGTGTTAAGCCAACTCATAATGACTCTTGGAAACCAATTTAGGAATTTGTAAGCCAGTTGACATCATGTTGGTGACTTGAAAATAGGAAATAGTGAAAGTACTTACAGTAAGGAAATCAGAAAATGCCACAAATCCGGGCGCTTTTTTTTTTTTTAAACTTTTTCTAAGGGGCAAGTTTTCAAATGTTTACCAGCATACCACTAAAATCATTCTTTCATCATCTCATGTTTTTCACATTTTGAATGAAAATGACTCTTTTGAACCCCAAATTAATGCACTCAAACATTGGCTGTGATATCCATCCTACAGCAAATGTAAACAGATTTATGAGAGATGCCTGGCATCCTCTGTCCTTCGTAGAAAACAGGAACATAAATCTTGTCTGTTCAGAATATACGTAGAGTAAAGAATGTTGCCCTGTCTTTCTTATCCCATCTGTCATCATAGGTAAAATTTCAACTAAATCTTTTGAGAAATCTGAATGGAATATTTATAAAACTTTATATTGTAGGTTGTACTCAGCAATTTCAATTTCAGGAAAAGTAGATTTTCATTCAAGAAAAAAAAAGAATGATCTCTAAAAGGATATACACAGCAAACAGAATTATTTTGGCAAATACGCAATTCAAAAAAACATTCGCTGCTAATCCTCACAAATTGCCTTTGAGATAATGATTAGGTCATCTTATTCTGATAGCAGTACTTGGGTGTTCACAGAAAAACTTAGACTTATTTCCCTTTAGTTTATGTTTGATAGGGAACATTCTGATAAGTAAAAAATAAACATAATGGATTGAGATAAATGCAATTCATACAACTTTTTAGGATTCTCTTCATATCTACAGAATCCTCCAAAGAGCTTTCCCAAATATGAAGTAAGAAGCGGACTTGTTAGTCCCTTTTAGAATTTCCGTATGTGAGCTGGTAGTATTTAGGACAATAACCTCAATTAAAAAGCAGAAATTATTGTAAAAAGCTAGATAATAAGTTTTGTCCACATAAGATAGAACATCCATCTGTGCAAATTATGGTTTTAAAGAGGTCTTATTAGCCTAGTTCAGGTATATTCGTTTTAATAATCACTATGTTTAATGCATTTTTCTAAGTGTTCTTGGAGTAGTAAGACATGACTATAGATAGCAACAACAAAAGCTTATAATCAATTTTCAAACTGAAATGATGAGGAGCCAGTGAGTACATCTTAAGTATTAACCTCAAGCAAGAACATTCAGCTTATACCAAGACTCCAAAATGTTTAGGAGGTTGCTACAGAAGAAAAGGTTGAAGTAATTAGAAAGAGTAATAATGTGATACATCGTGCTGTATATTTTGGAGAGAGAAGAAAGTGGAGCCTGGAGTGTGAAGCTTCATTGACTTCATTGTTTTTGGTATTTGCTTTCACTTGCTAATATTTTATTATATTTAACACTTGTTTTGGTATCCCACTAACTGTAGAATCCTTTTTTGTGTGTATTTTGTGATAAAACATGTTATTAATCTGGGATAACCCAGGCCTCTCAACTTCCTACACTTCACTGAGTCACAACTACTTCCCATTCCTTGCACCAAATATGCTCTTCAGAGAAAACAGTATTTGGTGCTGTTTCCTTTTTTTTTTTTTTTTTTTTTTTCTTTGAGACGGAGTCTCGCTCTGTAGCCCAGGCTGGAGTGCAGTGGCGCGATCTCGGCTCATTGCAAGCTCCTCCTTCCGGGTTCACACCATTCTCCTGCCTCAGCGTCCGGAGTAGCTGGGACTACAGGCCCCTGCCACCACGCCTGGCTAATTTTTTTTTTTTTTTTGTATTTTTAGTAGACAGGGTTTCACTGTGTTAGCCAGGATGGTCTCGGTCTCCTGACCTCGTGATCCGCCCACTTCGGCCTCCCAAAGTGCTGGCATTACAGGCGTGAGCCACCGTGCACGGCTACTGTTTCCTTTTTAACTTAATTCTTTCCTTTTCTCCACCTGGAAAAAACCTCTGCTTGTCCTACAGGACTTGCTTAGCCTAAATATCACCTCTATGTCAAACTTTTTTTAACCCTTCCAGGTCCACATGTATTTCTTAATATTTTGTAAAAAATAAAAAATAAAAAATAAAAAAAATAACCTCTATGAAAAAAATCACATTGTTTTGAATTTTTGGCATGTATGCATTTCTATATCCTCTACTAGTAATTGAGCACTTCCAGGATAGAAGCTCATCTTTCTCTCAGTCTTGACATAATATTTAGTACTTGAAATATTCATTCAGTAGATAAAAAATTTGGAGAACCAAGAAACAGTCTATCAGTCAATCAAGCTATACTTTTTAAGGGAGGTGCTTGAAAATATATAATAAGAGCTAATATGTATTCAGTGCTTACAATGTGACATTCCGTGTCCCAAGCTCTTTACTTCTCATTCCATCTTCCTAACAACCCTGTGATATGGGGAAACTGAGAGTTAAACCAAGTATTTAACTCAAGTATTCAGCTAACAAGCAGTGAAGCTGTCACTGGAAGCCAGGAAGTTGACTACACAGCTGAGTGAGTAACCTGATGTCTTTTTTTCATTTTGTTGGTAATAAATATAAAAGTTATTAATGGATATGTAGCAAACATCTAGGTAAAATCACAAGTATACACCTATGTATCTACAGCTTTGTGAATTACTTTCTCCTTTGTGTTATCTATTTATCCCTAGCATTATTTCCCTTAGGAACAGACTTATTTTGATGTACTAATAAAACACTGCCTAGTCTAAGTGTAATGATTACATTTTACTAATTTGCAGTGATTGATTGCTTGTGACATCAAATTTACTTTTCTGTTTAGATACTCATTTTTTTTCCAATGGCTTTGTAAGGTCCCTGACTTCAAGATCCATGCTTTAAAAGAACAATGATGAGGCTTTACCTCACATTCACCTTCTTACCTCTATAGCATTCATTCACTCAATCATTTATTCATTCATTCAATATGACTGATTAAAATACTAGTTAGGTTTTTAAATGGTGATCTAAACATTAAAAACTCAGAAATCATTGACCAAAATCTACTTTTTTGTAAAAATATAAGTATGTAGTTAACAATAAATGTTTATTCCTGAGGAAATGTAATATGAATGTATTACATGGAAGTCATATTGTGAAGAAGTGTTCTCCTCTTAATAGATTCTAACCTAGACTTGGCACCTAATCTCGTGAGCTGACATTGACTCAAAATTTTAGTTATGTTTGTTTGTAAATTATTTGTATTTGGCAATATTTACAGTTCAGAATGATCCATGCAAACTCTTTATTTCTGTTTTCTCTTTTAAAAATCAGATCTGCCACACTGGGCTTATCTGTCTGCAAGGCACCAATTTGTTCCTCCTGCATAGTACCAGCCCCTTTAGACCATGAATATAATCTCCTTTCCCTCCATCCTCCCCAACTCATTTTGTCCAATTTAGCCCATTTCACTTATTACATAACCTGCCCCATTCCTGCAGACATTTAATTTTGCACCCCAAATTCCAAACTGACTTTATTTTACATAGGCACTACTAAATATCGTTTATAATTTATCATTTATAATTATTAACCATAACTGTCATTATTTAAAACTCTTTCTTTGCTTTTCATTTCCTGAGCTTTAAAATAAGTGGCACAGAAGAGGCCAAAAGAGCTAAGCTGTTTTGACAAGCTCTGTAATATCTTTGGATTTTCATACCCAGGTCATAGTGCTTAATGAAAGTGACTAGTCATCCTTGACATGTTAAGAACCACAGAGGAATGCAAAGAAAAAATTACATGGCCTTCAGTTTGACAGCATCAATGTATCTTAAAGTTATAACTTTATAACTTCAATTTCTATTTTCAGGTGCAACAAAGAACATGAAATCATGCATGAAAACTTTTAGGACAACAACAAAAGTAGTTTTCTTCATCAAAGAAAATTTGGAAATGAGATACAACTATTAAAGAAAAATGTAGTCTTGGAAGATAATTTCTATTATTAAAAGATATTTTTAGCATACTGAGTTGAAGTCACATTTTCATTAATATTTTAAGCATAATGTTAAATATTTCATAGAGGAAAAGATAGTTATTATGAAGTTATCTTTGTATAGCACATACCACTTACTTGTGAATGCATTCAGTTTATAAATATTGAATATCTACTAGGTGTACTACTGCAGGAATATCATGCTCAGGTAGTTAACAGTCAAGTAGAAGAAATGGACACATCAACCAAAAAAATGTGATGAAAACTAACAAGTGTTATTAGAAGGAAATTATATTGGTCGTTTATATTGGTAAAGATCCAGTTGCAGAGAATCTGTTATAGTAAAATTAAATCTCTATTTGTTTTGTATTAATAGGGTAATTTGGAAAGCTGAAGATGCAGGCTTTAACTTGAACTTTTAGAAAGAACTCCCAAATCTATAACACAAAACCAAGCCACTGAGGGAGCAATTGTCTCCCCAGTTGAACAGGGATGCTGCCGCTGTAGCAGCCACCTCCAGCACCATGACACTACAGCCAGGATTGAGAGGGATGAAATAATATTTTAAAGAGCAATACTTGAAAGAACTGGGTAGGCATCTAAATATAACAAGCAAGGAAAATAGAGGAGTAGTAGATTTGGAGAAGAAATGTTTAATTTTAAGGAGATCTGGAGAGAGAATGTTCATTTTTGAAGCAGATTTGGAGAGTTGGATTTGTTCAGTTTTGATTGTGTGAACTTTCAGGAAGCTGTGAGGCCTCTGTACTGGACTGAATATTTCTATCCCCCCAAAATTAATATGTTGAATATGTTAAAATCTCACTCCCCAATGTCATGGTATTAGGAGATGGGACCTTTGGGAGACCATTAGGATTAGATGAGGTTATAAGAATGAAGCCTTCATGAATGGGATTAGTGTCCTTATGAGAGTCCCAAGCTTCCTCTCTCTGCTCTCTGCCATGTGAGACTATAAGAAGTCAGCAGTCTGCAACCCAGAAGAGCCCTCACAAGAACTTGACCATGCTGATATCTTGATCTCAGATTTCCAGCCTCCAAAACTGTAAGAAATAAATTTCTGTTGTTTATAAGCCACCAAGTCCATAGTATTTTGTTATAGTAAAGTACTAAGATAGCATCTAATAAGAATGAACTGACCAAGAGAGGATCTAACAAGAATGTCAGTGAAGTAGTTGAATATATGAGCTCCAGAAATGAGAGGAGTTAGATTTCAAGATATAGGTTGGAAAATTGTGAGGTTAAAGGTGGTAGGAGAGGTTGTGAAGCTAGTTAAGTATGCTTAAGGAGAAAGGAAAGAAAAGGAACGGAGACGAGAACTCTAGCAAGGGCTACATTTATATAGTGGGTAGTAATGGAAAAGTCTAGTAAGAAATGAAACTAGGATGCAGCAAGAGACTTAGCAACACAGGAAAAATGAAAAAAAATTTTAAGTTGGGAAATATGAGAAAGGGGCAACATTTTTACTACTACAGAGAAGTCAATTAAAATACGAAAGAAGATTGTCGGTTGTTTTTCAATGTTGGCAAGTCATGAGTGCTTTGACTTGAGTGATCTCTTGGGTATGAGATAAAGGCAGAGAACAGATTGCCGTGGACTGAAAAGAGAGTGGTAGGTAATAAGTCAGAGTCAGGAAGCAAAAATACACTCATTCAAAATGCTTACCCCGTAACATAAGGAGTAATGTACTCTGATAGCCAGAAGTAAAGAAGATCGATGCAAGAGTTTCCTTGTCTTAAAAGAGGAGAAAATAAATATATGCAGAAAAGAGAAGGATCAAGAAGAAAGAGAAAAGTTGGAGAAAGAGGAGAATCATGGAATGCTTGATAAAACAACTTCTTCAATATTTATGAGTCGTGAGCCTTAGAAGGAGCCTTCCCCATAAAACCAGGAAAAAGAGTAAATAAGTGTCAGATTGAGGTATATTATTATAGGGAAAGAAGGCTTGCATGTTAAAGCCTCAGATCTTTTAGAAGGAGGATACTGAGAATCACTGAATGGCTCTGGCTTGCAGTCATTAGGGGAAGCATAGCAAAGGCTGGACCAGCCTACAGAATCCCATCTCACCACTCTCAAGGTATATATCAGCAACTTGGAGCAGAGAGTGCTACTTATCACACTGCCCTGAGCATGGGAGGCCAGTTTCACAAAAAAAGCTTAACTGGTTCAAATCTCTCTTCATCTTGTAAGGCCTTTCACAGTGTCTTTCATTTACCTCCTGACCCATCTTTGTAAGAACCAGCATTTAAAGATAAGAGCTGTGGGCCAATGTCAGGAGAATCTAAATAAGTAAGCTATTTGTTTTTAATATCAAGAACTCATCTGGTTGTGCTAATGTAATCTTTGAACTCTTTCTATGGTTAAATACCCACTAGAAAAAAAAATCTAAATTGGCCTTGTGCAAAATTCTTACAATATAAACTCTCATTAAAAACCATAAATGTACTTCTCGAAATTTAATATCCATGGATAAAAAATAAACCAACACTAACTTGTATAAAGCCTACTAGCAACTACTGTACATTTGAAAAAAATCATAACTTTATTCCTTTATAGAAAAAAATAAAACTTACAGAGATAAATGGAATATAGGATGTTAGGTGATATGCTGAAGCATATTTGAGACATCCAATGTCAGACCCTGAGGTAAATCATCATATAGACTTCATCTAACCTCCCCTCACCCCACCCCAGCTTTAAATTCTCTTGATGGAAACTTGCTCATATTTCAAGAAAAAAAAAGGAAAGTGTTAATACACAGGTTTTGAGAAGTAGAATGGCCATTTAGGAAAGCTGATATGGGAAATAAGAATAGATAGGTGTAGTAGCCAAGGTGCAGCATTGAGGAAAGGGCTGAGGAAAGGTGTGACTCTCCTATAATTTCTCCACCATCTTACAACATCACTACAACCTGGACAATTAGCCTTTTAAAATATTTGAAGGCAAGGTTGATTATATATAGTAAGTGGAATTAGATTTACAATATAGTACGAAGAATTATGTTTTGAAACTCTATTTCCAAAGTATCAATCAGGTTTTGAGTTAACCAATAATCCATTGATTGTTTTGAAAATATTGGTTATTGGGACTGTGCACATTAACAAACAGGTTATTGTTACCTTTATAATTAGTGTATTGACCATGTATACATTCAAAAAGAGCATGTAGATCTAGTGATTCCTCAATAACATACATTTAGAGGTTCACAAATATTTTAAGAGATAGTGGATGAGAGCAGAAAAACTGACGGAAACGAAGAAACCAAGATATATTTATCGACAAGCTGTTAAAGGATCATTTCCTTCGTTTTTAGCATTTTCTTCTCTCCATAGCTACCTTATGTTTAACACAATTTGGTACAAACCACATGCTTTCACTTAAAACAATTCTTGGGAATGGTTTTACCTGTAAAAACATACTTGTATTGGTGTGTGTGTATTTATATTTAAAATATTGATTGATTTTTTCTCAAAATAAAGAATAAAATATAAAATGGCCCCCAATCTTACCCATCTCTGTAAGAACCAGTCAAGTAGGTGTACTCGACTACTGTGACAAATACTAATAATAATGTAAATCATTATATAATGTTAAAAAAGTATATAACCTAAAATACTGTAAAATACTCATCACGTCCTCCTTTCCATTCATATATTAACCACTATATTCAAGCACCCACTGTTAACAGTTTCTTGTGATTCCTTTCCATCACCAAAATGTACATTGAGCCACAAATATGTAGCCAGTTGTACATTTATTTTCTCAAAAGAGATCTTAACACATTACCGTAAATCTTTTTTTCAATTAAAATAGATTTTAGAGATCTCATCATACTAGCACATATATCTACATTTCATTATTATTGTGGTAGAATATACCATCATATTAATACATGGTAATATATTAATACACGGTAATATATTAATCTATTATCTTGGTGAACAACATTTTGGTTGTTTTCAGCATTTTGTTCTTACATAAATTTCTATAGTGAATACCCTTGTATATAAATTTTGACAAACTTTTTATAAGTACATTGATAAACTGAACTTTTATGAGTGGGCAAAGGATAAAAGTATTTTGAATTTTGATAGATATTGCCAAATTGTCCTACAGAAAGGATGTAGCAATTTTTGCTCTCAACAACAACATATGAGACAGCTCATTTACCCACATCCTGGACAACACTAGGAAAATCAAACTATTCTAATTTTTTGACAGTTTAATAAGAGAAAAATTCAATTTTTTTCTTTTATTTGCATTTCTTCAGTTGTTACTGAGATTGAACATAATTTCTTACAATTTATTGTCATTCCTAGTTTTTGGAGAATGCCTTCTTGCTCTTTTAAAAAATTGCTTAGTTCATCCTTTCTTATTGATTTACATAAACTTTTTGTAAATTAAAAATTACCATTTTGTTATATGCATAAAGTTTTGTTTCAAATTGTTATTAATTTTTCAAATTTGTCTTTGGAATTTATTCATTGTCATCCAGAATTTTTGTTGTTAATTTTATAGGTCAAAATTTTCAAGCTTTTAAATTAATGGCTAATTTAAAAGTCTTTCCATGTTCTAATATTATAAATATATTAATTCGCACTTAACTTGGTTTTATTTATGGCCTAATTTTTTAATATTTTATGCCATTGAGATATTTGGAACTTTTTAAAATTGTTTCTTTCAATCAGTAGCAGTTTCCATACCACTTATTGAATAATACATTTATACCCCCAAATTTGATATGCCACAGTTATTATCAATCTAATTCCCCTAGGTCTACATAAAATTCTTTTATTCTGGACCTGACAGGGTGGCTTGCACCTGTAATCCCAGCTACTTAGGAGGCTGAGGAGGGAGGATAGCTTGGGCCAGGAGTTTCAGACCAGGTAAGTAATGTAGGAAGACCGCATCTCTAAAAAAAAATTTAATTAGCTGGGCATGGTGGTTTTATTAGTCAGAGTTCTCCAGAGGGACGGAACTAATAGGATATATGCATATATGAAAGGAAGTTTATTAAGGAGAATTGACTCACACCATCACAAGTTGAAGTCCCACAATAGGCCGTCTGCAAGCTGAGGAGCAAGGAAGCCAATAGCGACTCAGTCCAAGTCTCAGAGCCTCGAAAGTAGAGAAACCGACAGTGTAGCCTTCAGTCTGCAGAAGGCCCGAGATCCCCAGCAAAGCACTGGTGTAAGTTCAAGATCCC
Organism: Homo sapiens; assembly: GCF_000001405.40. Classification (NCBI taxonomy): domain Eukaryota; kingdom Metazoa; phylum Chordata; class Mammalia; order Primates; family Hominidae; genus Homo; species Homo sapiens. The sequence continues at coordinate 82,679,931 of NC_000007.14, read as the reverse complement.
AAGGCTGAGGAACCTGGAATCTGATGTTCAAGGGCAGGAAGCATCCAGCATAGGAGAAAGATGAAAGCCGAAAGATTCAGCGAGTCAGCTCATTCCACCTTCTTCCACCTGCTTTGTGCGAGCCAGGTCGGCAGCCGATTGGAGGGTGCTCACCCACATAGAGGGTGGGTCTTCCTCTCCCAGTCCACTGACTCTAGTGTTGATCTCCTCTGGCAACACCCTCACAGACACACCCAGAAACAATACTTTACCAGCTATCTAGGCATCCTTCAATCCAATCAAGTTAACACATGATATTAACCATCACAGTGGTGCACACCTGTAGTCTTAGCTACTCTGGAGGCTGAGGCAGGAGGATTGCTTGAGCCCAGGAGTTTGAGGCTTCAGTGAGCTATGACTGTGCCAGTGTACTCCAGCCTGGATGACAGAGGGAAACTTCATTTCAAAAAAAAAGAAAAAGAAAGAGAGAGAGAGAGGAAGGAAGGAGGGAAGGAAAGAAGGAAGGAAGGAGGGAAGGAAGGAATGAAGGAAGGAAGGAAGGGAGGGAGGGAGGGAGGGAGGGAGGGAGGGAAAGAAAAAAATCTCTTTTCTGTTTCATCGCCCTTACTCTTTTCTTTGTTTCTATATTTTATTGCCTTAAGTGTTCTCAATAAAAATAGAAACATTTTACTGGGTGACTTTGACTTGAAACACTTTATTTACTTTTTTATTTATTTGGTTCATTTTATGATTATAACTCCCTAAAGGTGAGAAAAGTTGGGGAATACCTGACATTCACGGAAGCCCCTGCATATGCAATCTCACCAAATTAATTTATTCCTAATTATAATACTTCTATGCAGGTGTTCATTCGCTAATATTGCATATAAAACAATAAACTTCAAAGAGGTCAAGTATCTTGTGCAAAGTCATGTAACTAACAAATGGCAGCACTGAGATTCAAATGATTGTATGTCTGACCCTAAAGCATATGCTTTTCCCACAACCCTGCAGTTTCAACATCCTGTGTTAGATACAGGAAGCTACTTAACCTGGGTAAAAGACAAACCATGACAATGTCATTCTCTAGCATTAAGCAGCACACAACTGAGCTGAAATTTAAAGTAGAATGCTACATATTATAAGGGTGACAGGGATAACAGCCATGGAACTCCTAAATCTCGTGTAGAGGACAGAGAATGGCTTATTTAGGTTAGTGTATGAGGTACATAAAGGAATGTAGGAGGAAAAAAATGCTGAGGATGGGGTCTGGGTCAGATGGCAGGGAGTTTTTATAACCCACTAGAGTTTGTGGAGTACTTAGGTCTCATTAGAGGGAAAGTTTTTTCTTTCTGTGCAATTTTGATTGCTCTTTTGATTTAATTAGGGCAAGCGTCAGCCAAGTACATACTTCCTGCAGGGCAAGTTCGACCAGCCACTTTTTAGCATGTAAATAAATTTAGTGGGAACACAGCCACCCCTATTTGTTCACATAAGCCTGTGGCTGTTTTTGTGCTATCGTAGAGTTGAGTGGTTGCGTATGATTCTCAAAACCTAAAAATATGTCCTTTACAGGAAAAGCTTGACAGCGTTTGCACTATTTTCTCAAAACCTCACTATATTTAGCCTGCATAAACCGATCAATTTTGTTTATATAAACAAAGTGTCAGGCAAGGATTTCCAACACTGATTCAACATTGATTATTTGATTGTTCAAACTATGTCACCATCAAAAGCTGCTACAGGCAGGTTTATGTTAAAATTTGTACTTAATTTTGTTGTTATAATACCACTTAAATAATTTAATATGATTCAAAAAAGAAAATAAAAGAAAGATCAGAACATAAACTGATCAGTGAAGTTGGCCAAAATATGTCATAAATTTTCTCTTAAATCTTTCAGTGAAATGAGACATTTTAGAAATAATCAAAGGGATATATCAAGGAAAAAAGTGTCTAACATAATAAAGAAATAATCCTGCCTATACTATGCAAATTAAGCTAGTTTTGTTCAAAAAGAAGAGATAGAATGGCCATTAATGGTACTGATTATTTACTTGAATTTTCATTACTAAAACACTAGAGTCATTAGCTAATTAATATAAAGTGCATTTGCAGAGATGTGGGAGAGCAAAATGTTGCTAGAGTGCATCAAAAAGTGATTTGGTTCCAAGAGCCAACAGAGCTCTCAGCAGCTTCCGCCTCTTCTGCTCTGTGACTGGCGACCACATCCTGGGGTGCTCAAAGCCTCTCCTCCAAATGTCACCTTCCTGCTGAATGACATCATCCTTCTAAATCTGAATGAAGCTTGCACTGTATCTAAATAAACAGCAGATAATTTTTAGAAATACAGAAACACATCAAAAGTTTGGGGGTGTTTTAAATTAATATGAAGTAAAAATTAATGAGGTTTTAATCAGGGTAGAAAATGTCTTCCTATAATTATTTACTTAAAGAATAAAGTCTCATATTTAAAGATGACCTAAATATTTTATCCCATTCCCCACCTCAGGGTTTTTCAACGGTGACACTATTGACGTTTTGGGCTAGATAAGTCTTGGTTGTGGGGGCTGTCCTGTGAATCCTAGGATGTTTTGCAGCATACCTGGCCTCTACCTGCTAGATGGCAGTAACAACCAACCTCCCACCACCACCCGCAAGTAGTGACAACCAGAAATGTCTCTATACATTGCCAAATGTCTCTTGCAGGGCAAAATTGGCCCTGATTGAAAACAACAGCCTTACACAAAGATTTGTGACAGATTGTGAGAGCATGTGTACTTTATCAGCTAGTTAGTAACCAAAACCATGGCTTCAACAGGCAGCCTGCTGCTATTAGTTCTGCTCTTTTTCTTGGGAATTATATTTATTTAGTAAATCTTTTATGACAAAGCCGTATGAAAACCCAAATGTTTAATCTTCAAATTAAACTGTCTCTATCACTAAGCTCTGCCATTTACTAGCAGTATGACTTGATAAATTACTGCCCTTTAGCAGTCTCGAGTGCCTTGTAATGGCAATAATTCCTGTGAAGTACTTAGCACTATGCCTGTTACATAATAAGTGATTAATGAGTTTTAGGTTATTATGAATAATTATATTAAGTTGTATTGTGATTTAGAATATCTGCTGTCCTTCCCTACAGAAAGATTTTATATTTCTTTTTATCTTCCATGATTCACTTTGGCCAATAAGTTGTAAGTGAAATTAGACACTTTCAAAAAGAAGCTTTAAGCAACTTTCTGTGATTTGATGATGTCTCCCCTTGCTCTCTCTTGAGACAAGCAGTGTCTCATACAGGGACTGTTTCCTCCGCCTGGAACTTGGAATGATAATGACATGGGGCAGAACCACATCTGACCTGTGATAGGCATGTACCTTGAGCTAGAAATAAGCCTTGGTTGTTCAGAACCACAGAGTGCTAAGTTTTGTTTTTGTTTCAACTGCAGCCAAACTTGGTCTAAACTAACTGTTGAAATAATTTATCAAACATTTCTTGAGCATGTATCACATCAGACATTACATTATTGATAACAAGAACAGCAAAACCCTCCATGCTGATTTGGAACATAGATTCTAGTGACAGAGAAGGAAGAAACATAACAACATAATACAATCCGATGGAGGCCATCACTAAGCGGGAAAAGGATGTGCCTCTTTGAGTTGTAACCTGAAGCATTATAACTAGTTTGCCAGTACAGAAGGGCAGAAGAAGAATCAGGCTAAGAGTATAGCAGGGAAGTTTGGGAGCAGGGGCCATCTTCCTTGAATGGTGAAGAGTTAGGAGAGGGAAGGGCATGCCATGTGTGGGCACTGGAAAGGAAGATGTCATGAACAGTTTAGGGTTCATGGTAAAGTCTATTATATCCGCGTTCTGGGATGTAAGATTTATCTCTTTAGCCAAAGGAAAACCATCAGATATTTCTCTCTTTTTTTGACATTTGTAATTTATTTTCTTTTCAATTGACACATAATAATTGTACATATTTATGGGGTACAATGTGATGTTTTGATATATGTATCATTGTGTAATGATTATATTAGAGTAAGTAGCAAATCTATAACCTCAAACATTTATCATTTCTTTGTGGTGAAAATGTTCAGAATCCTTTCTTCTAGCTATTTTGAAATATATAGTACATTATTTTATGGTGCAATAGATTCTCATTGTTTCTCATAAGAATAGATTATGAGAATAGATTCTCTTAAGATTCTCACTGGAACTTATTCCTCCTATCTAACTATAACTTCATAGCAACTTTTCTTTATCTTCTCCTCCCCCTCAAGTGTATTGTGAGCTTTGTGAATCAGCTTTGGAATCCCTTGGCAGCCCTGACTGACACGGTAAACATAACTTTATATATATACTATATAAATTTTATTTCTTCCATGCCAAACCACACATTTTTCACATTCTCGAATTTCTGAAATCAGATTATATGTGCAGCTCTTTTCTTTACCCTCCAAAAAATCTTTAATAAAGCAAAAGTCCTTCTTACAGTTGGGACTCTGCTTCTCTTGCAAGCTTCTGGATGATACTAATCCTGCTGGTCTTCAAATCCCACATTGGGTACTAGAGGTCTGGAGGAAATGTAGTGTTTCTTGGGAAAGTCAGGAAATTATAAATTGAAGACCAACTATAATATACTTTTTTAAAAAAAAGATAAGGCTCAAAAATAACATTGGGCCAGTGGCAGTGGCTCATGCCAGTAATCCCAGCACTTTGGGAGGCCAAGGAAGGTGGATTAACTGATGTCAGGAGTTCGAGACCAGCCTATCCAATATGGTGAAAACCCATCTCTACTAAAAATACAAAAATTAGCTGGGCATGGTGGCACACACCTGTAATCCCAGCTAGTTGGGAGGCTAAGGCATGAGAATCACTTGAACCTAGGAGGTGGAGGTTGCAGTGGGCCGAGATCATGCCTCTGCACTACAGCCTGGGTGACAGAGCAAGACTCCATCTCAAAATAAATAAATTAATTAATTAATTAAAATAACATTGGACCACAGTGATTTTAAAAACCTTTATAAAAGCATGGGCATTTTGATTGTGTAAGTACCTACTACATGGTCCATTAAATAAATTAATTAATTAATTAAAATAACATTGGACCACAGTGATTTTAAAAACCTTTATAAAAGCATGGGCATTTTGATTGTGTAAGTACCTACTACATGGTCCATAGTAGGGTCTTATAAAATATTTAGTGAATAAATTAAAAAGAAAGAAAGCTATTTTGGGGAAAGATAAGTTCAAGGGGTTGGAGAAAGAGAGGTGGAGGGAGAGGAGAGGAAAAGGAAAAAATAAAACCAAAAAATAAAAAGGAAGGAACAAACCTGAAATGACTGCCACAACTGTAAGTTATGATCCAATAAAATTGTTAAATGTGAACTCTTTCTTAGGGAGAGGGAAAGTCTTGCACAATTTTGTAGTTTTCCTGTATCACTTAGGAATGTCTTCTATTACATAAACAAAAAAAATAAACTATCGTGGCTTAATTTCTCTAACTTAACAACAACAGATAGTCAATCCAAGGCTGGTACAGTAACTCAGCAATGTCATCCAGCCCTGAGGCTCTTTCCACTCCACCATTGTAGAATATCTATTGCCATCCATATGTCTGTTGTCTCCTGGTCACAAGTCCTCCTGCCATCCTATCCACATGTAAGGTAACAAGAAGATGAACTGATAACAGCAAACTCCCTTTTAAATCTCTGTGTCGGGATGCCCCTTGTCAACTCAGGGGTATTCCCTGACCCCTTGTACATTCTCTTCTGCGTCATAGTGGAGAAGCCCACAGCTGTATCTCTCTGAATCTCTCCAATAGGATTCTGGCTTAGATTCTGCCACCGAGGGACGCTGCAAGCTGGCAATGTGAAGAGCCGAGGTGGAGTAGCACTTATTCTCTGATGGTAGCTCTCAGTAGCAGCTGAGATAATTAGAGATAATTTCCCTTGACTCTGGGAGTTCACTAGAATCAACCCACTGCAGGGAGTCAGTGGGATCTTTAGCAAGCACTTCCTTGGCTTTTGCAATCTGAGATGTATCCAGCATGGTGTGCAGGCAGGTGGATACATAGGTGACAGCTTCCCTGCCATCCTTTATGGATTTCCTGAAAGCTGTTTCTTGCTGCAGAACACACTCCTAACTGATAAATTATGACACTCAACCCTTCCAACAAGACAAGTGTGTAGCCATTATATTATTCTTATTCTTTTATTCTTATTAAGTCTTACTATTCTATCTCACGTGGTTCTGCTTCTGCAACCACACTCTGACAGATACAGTCTCATCAGTCATAACCGTGAAACACAAAACATGATCACTATTAATTGCAAAGGGATACTGAGAAAACGAGTTTTTAATTTTATGACCTCTATAGCCACTTTGTCCATTTTTGTAGCCATGAGCTACATGTGACTATTTATATGTAAATGTAAATTAATTAAAATTAAAGCAAATTAAAATTTAGTTTCTTGGCTTCAATAGGCACATTTCAAGTGCTCAAAGCCACATGTGCCTAGGGGCTATCATATGGGACAGTGTAGCAGAAAAGGAACATTTCCATCATCACAGACCCTTCTGCTGGAAAGTGCTGCTCTATAATAAAGACCTACAGGAAGGAAGAAGTTCTCCCAAACTTCCATAATGCTTTCGCAGTGTCTAACATAGGGAAGAGCCTGAATACTTTAAAAGAATGAATTCCATGTTCAAGGGTCCTTTTGAAAGGTTACTTATCTATTTTTTGGTAGCCCAAACACTTTAACTACTCATTGATTAACGTATTTTTATATTTAGAATGGAAAAGATAAAAATGAATTAATTGAAAAATAGTGACATTACTTGAAATTTGTCTGAAATTCATTGAAACCACCTACAAATTTTGATTCTCTACTGCTACAACAAAATTCAAGTAAAAGCATGAATAAACAAGACAGCAGTCTTTCAGAGATTTAATGCCACTTTCTATGCCAGCCATTCTATAAAATATTAATGAGGACATTTGTGGTAATAAATGTTAACACAGTCTCTTGATCATGTGAACACTGGCAAAGATTCTTTATCATGACATTCAGTAGCAGAAGAGTTTATTAAAACAATATATTAATTTTCAAAAAGTTAAAAATAGTACTTAAGTTTATAACTGCAGTTTTTAATAGTTTTGGAAGGGGACAATATTTTGCAGTAGAAAGTGTTTTAAACCAGGAATGAAAATACTCATCCATAATGCAGCTGAATCTTGCAGCTTCTGTTCATGATAACACTACTAGGGTCAGAAAAAATAACAAGCATCTTACGGGCCTTCCAAACATAACTGGGAAACGTACTAATTCATCCCATGTTACTGTATAGACATGATTTGAAATACAGTGTCATTCAACACGTGGAATTAAGAGACAGTTCAAGAAAGTCTCTGATATACTAAAAGTCAACTCTGGTTTGCATGTATACCAAAAAACATCGCCTTCTGATAAATAATTGAATGGATATTCTCTTTTCCCTTCCCTTCATTTAGAAACTATTGCCTATGTTACTTATGTGATACTTATTAGACCACAAACAAATGAGGGTATGATTTTGAAATTTATTTTTAACCAATCTGTGAATCATATAACTGCTAACATGTGTATAACAGTTATTATTTTTTCCAAATATCAATTAAATTTGCAAGGTCGACAATTTTTATTTGATACTTCTCTTTATGATAGTATGAAGGTAAAATTATCTTTTTGGAAATTACGCAGTAAAAGTAGAGAGAAATGCTACCTAGTAAACCAGAGTAACATTCAAAATTCCAAACCAGTGATTCCTGTAAAGTTGCAAAAGCATGACAAGCATGTTATTGTCAAGGCCTCTGCTTTATATAGTGCAACTCATTTATTCAGCAAATGTTTATGGAACACCTTCCTCATGCAAATCTTTGTACTACATACAAAGTCAAGGGGCCAAAGAAAAGTTAAAAACAAAAGAATAATCCAAAGTTTGGCTTGTAGCTGATAAGGTTCAGAACAAGCTATCCCAAAGTATTTAAGCTGAAGGAATTTGAGAACACCACACAAGCAGGCAGGTCAATCTCACCTCCCCCTTCTTCTCCCATGAAGCAGGTCATAAAACCTAGGAAGAATTTTCTGACCATCCCCTGAAGTAGCTCATAAGACCTTCATTCAAGAGGTACACTCTTAATACCCAGAGGAAGGGAACACATCCTTGTTTCTGAAGATATGGCAACACAGAGAAGAACCTTAACAAATACACCTTGTTAAGTTTTCTCTGTTTATTACCATTTGATCATACTCTTGTCTAATTCTGCTTCTCCATGACTGCCCACGCTTCACCAAACCTATCATTAAAATACACAAGTTTAGCCATTTCTTTGGATCTTCATTTCTTCTTGAAAGATTCCATATCATGTAAAACATATATTAAATAAATTTGTATCCTTGTCTTTTGTTAATCTGCCTTCTGCTGTAGTAGCCACAACCATGAACCTATGAAAAGGCATAGGAAAGATATTTTTCCTTCCCTTGAAGCGTGGTTTCATTCCGGTAGCATGTTGAAATCACCTGAAAGCTGTTATGGATTTAATGTTTGTGTTTTCCCAAAATGAATATGTTGAAACCCTAACCCTCAGTGTGAAGACAGGGCCTTCGGGAGGTAATTAGGGTTGAATGGGGTCAGAAAAGCGGGATCCTCATGGTGGGATTATTGCCCTTATAAGACGAGACACCAGAGAGCTAGCTTTGTCTCCCTGAACTCTCGAAGAAGAGATCATATGAGCACAGAGGGAGATGGCAGACACCTACAAGCCAAGGGACGAGACCTCACAATTAAACCTATCTTGCTGGCACCTTGACTTTGGACTTCCTAGCCTCTGGAACTGTGAGAAAATACATTTGTGTTGTTTAAGTTACTTAGTCTATGACACTTTGTTATGGCAGCCCAAGCTGACTAATACAGAAGCTAAAGAATAAAAATAAATAAATAAAGCAAACAAAAACTCAAGCTCAATAACACTTCCAGATACTCTTATTTTTTGAAAACTCTTTGGATGATTCTACTCTGCAACCAGGTTTGAAAACTACTGTCCTAAAAGATAAATTCTCATTTTTCCCCCCACACATCCACTCCTAAAAATTAAAATCCTCTTAACAGAGTCACTCTATGTGAGGAGAGGTATGGTGTGCAGCTTGTGAAGCTTTAACAATTCTCTCTAAGCTAATGTGTCTTCTTCCTTCCTTCCCTGCTCTCATCGAGAGTCACTATGTAAGACAAAGAGCTGTTAAGGCAGAAAATGAAGATTTTCTTCATTAGAAGATTTTTTTCGAGACAAGAATTGCAGCTTTGGTGTCACATGATTTAAAAAGAAAAAAAAGTCACAGTGTTTAATGAGAGGCCAACCTACATATTCTGGCTTCACTTCATCCCCTCTGCTAACTTCTAGCTGGAAGAGGGCTCTCTCTTCCCCACAATTTTGATAAACCACAGGCTCACTCAAAAGAGCCTGAATTGAGTGATGTGCCTATCTTTGAACCAGTCACTGTCGTCAGTAAATGAATGTGTATATTAGTTAGCCTAGATCTTATGACCATCTCTCCAACTGGAGAGGGGTCAGACCACCCTGTCCACATCCTCTTCTCTCAAGAGGAAGTGAAAAAAAATCAGGATTCTACACAAAAATATGAGAAGAGAATAAAAACAACAAATATTTACTATAATTGCCTAAAGGTCACCCAGTATCAGTGGCAGAGTGAGACCTCATGGTGAAATCTGTTTGACTTGGAAAACCATGGTCTTAAGCACTCCAAAATACTACTTCTTGAAATTTCACTATGTACCCAGCAATGTGCTAGGTTCTAGGAATGTAAAGCTGTATCAGACATAGTCCTGCTCTGAGGAGCTCTATTTAATGGTGATGACAGGTGTAAAGAGAAGATGACATGCAGTGATTAAGGTGCTCAGAAGGAAGAGAGGCTCATTAATAGCAATTAGAAGTACTTTTTCTATGATCACTAGTTCACACTTTGTAAGTCCAAGATCTTCACCCTTCCCTTTGCCAAGAGAATATATTAACACAAAAGATTTATTGCCTAGGAGAAGAAGAAATTGTCCTTAGTTATTCTAATTTGGCTAGAGAAAAAAAATCTATGTTGATGGTCTGTGTTAGAGAAGTTACTGTAGGGCTTGGTGTGGTGGCTCATGCCTATAAGCCCAGCACTTTGGGAAGCCAAGGTGCGAAGATCACATGAGGCCAGGAGTTTGAGACCAACTTGGGCAACATAGTGAGACCCTATCTCCACACACACACCCACAGACAAAGAAAATAGAGAAATTACTGTAATACATGACAAAAATAAGGAAAAAAGCAAATAAAATATAAGGAAATTAAACCTGCTACATGGATGTGTTGGAATAGATATTCTCCAAATATGGTTATCTTGATCTTGAAGCTACACATTTTTAAAAACTTTTTTTAATGCTTCAAAGAGAGCTTAAGTTCATTCACAAAGGATAAAAAAAGATCCATTTTTCTTTGGCACTGAAGGGTGAAATTGTTCATTTAAAGTAAAAATGACACATTGGGCAAAACCAGCACCATCTGGATAAACTAGAGAGCTGACAGTGAAGCTACACTGAGCTCCAATCAGAGCTCTGCACTTGGCATTCAAATGCTCTGCTTGGCTTGCAAGGCGCAATGACCAGACTATAGTAGACAAGACAGAATTTTCATTCATTTCAAGCAAATTTTGTGAATTTATAATGAAAAATAAACACAATATACATGGCACACAGCATTCCCTAGTTAAATTTATGAGATGAAGGGAAGAATGTAATTGTGATGCTACTAGACTGCTTTGGAGTTAAATGAAGATTCTGGTACAAAGACAGAGATGAAAACTATTCTGGCATTTTTATGGAACTTTAGCTATTAGTGAGAGGTATGCTATAAACTCTGAGGCTGTTAGAGTTGTTAAACTGTTCATAGTGGACTGGTTTAGCTGCTATTCCGGTCTGGCAATTCTTTAGGGAGAGCAGCACTCCTCTGCTCAATAGCATCCACCTATCAGTGGTCTCATTTTGCAAAATCTGTCGTGGACATCTGCTAAGGAAAACTTTTTACTAAAAAAAAAAAAGCATTCAGAACTCAACTGATTATGTAAAGAAGAATGCAAGAAATAAAATGTGAAAAACCAATGCCATAAACTTGATCACAAACAATACCAAGTGTACTTTTCATTTAGTATTGAGCTACAAACAGAGAGTAAGGCTTAGCATTTGACCAAATTGGCTGATGTATCTAATTAAGTGACTGATGTGGTTGGTTGTGTCCCCACCCAAATCTCATCTTGAATTGTAGTTCCCATAATCCCCATGTGTCATGGGAGGGAACTGGTGGGACATGATTAGTTCATGGGGTCAGTTTCCCCCATGCTATTCTCATGATAGTGAGTGAGTTCTCACAAGATCTGATGGTTTTATAAGCATCTGGCATTTCCCTTGCTGGCATTCATTCTCTCTCCTGCCACCCTGTGAAGAGGAGGCCTCCCCAGCCATGAGGAACTGTGAGTCAATTAAATCTCTCTCTCTCTCTTTTTTTTTTTTTTTTTATAAATTACCCAGTCTTGGGTATTTCTTCATAGCAACATGAGAACAAACTAATACAGTGGCTGATTATTTTTGTGGAATAATTGGCTTCACTATACTAACACCTTGGATGTAGATAGATGTTACGGGCTGAATGTTTGTGTATGCCTGCAGCCCCCTCCCTTCCTGAAAATGCCCAGATTCATATGTTGAAAATCTAACTGCCAGTGTGGCTGTAGTTGAAGTAAGGAATTAATTAAGGCTAAATGAAGTTATAAAGTTGGAGCCCTAATCCAACAGGATTAGTGTCCATTTAAGAAAAAACACCAGAGAGTTTGCTTGATCTTGAACCTGCCAGCCTCCAGAAATGTGAGAAAATAAATCTCTGTTTAAACCGTCATCTGTGGTATTTTCTTATGACAACCCAAGCTGACTAATACAATAGATAAGGCCATTGTGTGTGTGTATATATATATAGTTCTTATACCTGCCTGTTTATATATTAATAAAGAGATATAATCTTATTAAATATTTATTAGAGAAATTATTTATCAACAGTGATCATTGTTTTCTCAAATTTCCATTTTGTTAGCCATCATAATAAAAATAAATGAGATTTACCTAGCTGAATTGTTCTCACTATTTCTACTTCAAGATTCTGCCATTCTCTACCCTGTCATAATATCTAGCAATGAACTACTTACAACTCCTAGCATGCATTGATTTTATATCTTCATATGGTTAAACATAATATTCTCTATACTTAGAATACATCCTGCCTCTTATAGAACTAGCAGACTTCTAATCTTTCAGTATTCAAATTATGTATTATATTTACATTCTTTGTGACGTCTCACCTTAATAGGCAGAATAATCCTCTTTCCTCTGAGCACCAGTGTATCTTGTACATGGTTTAATTAATGCATTTAGACAATATACATAAGACATATAAAAGGAGAGAGGGCTGGAAAAACAAGATATTGTTAGAGTTAACACTAATATGCAATATTTGTGAGATATAATTATAAAGATATAATTAAGGAAGAAAGTGTTTATAAAATACAGAATTTCTGGGTGATGCCCATTCATACTGGAAATGAAATTGTATTTTAATGATTAATTGACAGACCTTCCTAGGCCAACTAGACTGTGAGCTTCTTAGGGAAAGGAACATGGTCTTTTAAAATCTTGATATCTTTTTGAATCTTGATGCCTTATTCAGTATCTGTCATAGAGTAGATGCTTAGTAAAATATACAGAATAAATAAATATGCCAGCCTGTAAGTTATTACTCTAGAAATCATACATCTGCTTAAAAGGGGAGATGATCCAGTTGTGACTTCTTTTATTCTATTTATTTATCTCTAGAATTCTTTTAGCCTATCCATCTGGCCAGGCAGATGTCCTCCTTTACCCCCAGTTACTTATTTCATATACATAATTTCCAGAACTTTAAATCAATAGAAAAGCTGATAAGGGCAGAATATTATGAATGTTTATATTAAAATTAAATCTCATAATCACTCATTCGGAATTACCTATATATCACTTTCTATCAAAAATAATTATTTATGGTGCATTTTTCTTAGGAGACATTTAATAATTAGTTTTTTAATGAGCAGTAAAAAAGTATTTCAATATTCACAACTTTTGACTATAGTTCAGTATTTGAGCTGTATTCAGTATTTGAGGTGTGATTAAATGAAATGACAAAAAAACTCAATTCCATTAAAGCATAGGTAATAAAAATATTATATGACAAACAGGTAATTTATACCTAATAGGTTAAATGGAGACCATCTTTCTTAAATCTATGATTCTAATAATTCATTTCATTTAATGAATTACCTATAAATAAGGTAACTAAAATGCAAACTTCCATTAGGATTTACTCAGCCGTTTTTTGCTATGCTTAGTTTAATAAACTTCATAAACTAAAGGGGCATGCTTTCATTTTTTTTTTTTTTCTGCACAGATGAAGCTTTAAAATAAACTTTCCCACCTTCTGTTAAGCTTTCAGGAGGCATCTGTGCCTCTGTAACTAAGCAGCTAAGAGGCTAAGCCACATATTTTTTCAGCTGCTAAGTCCAATATGGATTCCTCCACTGTCTCATTTCCTATGTGAAATTATGGCAGCCCTGGCAACTCTGCTCTGATGATGGAGGATGGTGAAAGAGAAGTTTGTAGACAAGTCTCAAGTCTAAGTTGGTCTTGGGCCAGACTATTGTTGGCTGTTCATGCATTTCCTGTAACGTATGATTTTGTGAGATGTTGTCCTACCAACAGGGAAAATCGTTTTTCTCAGGAGGAAGTAACTTAAGAGAGGTTAGAGAATGAACACTGACGTGCAAAATCACAAATGAAGTGCTGAGGATATCTCTACGGAATAGCATAGAATTCTTATATTGTCATTATGTGTTCCTAAGAATAAACACAATGTTATAGAGAAATCACTAAAAAATTTGATGAAATTGAAAAGAAAAATGAACTATGGAATGATGTTGATTAATTCAAAAACTGCTTCTTGGCTCAAGTATATCTTAACACAGGCAACAAAGGTTCAATTTAAGCAATTATTTCAACCACCATTTTTAAACAATTAATATTAAATGCATCAATTGAATTTGCTCTTTAAGAAATAACTATGGGAATTGCTTGTGAAAAGTCTATTATTTTGTGAGGCATATACTTGGATCCTCATTTATCTGAATAGAAATGTAGATTTTCACATCCAGCACTAAGGCTACTTCAAGTGATATCTAGAGACTATTTTGGCCACTTGGTCCATTTAAACTGATATGAAGGCAAGTGCAGTATTTTTATGACATGACCACTTTCTTATCCATCTAGTCTTATAGCTGCTAACACTTGGAAAATAAATGAAGTGTATTTTATTCCCAGGGCAGACCTCTCAGCAATACCGCTCCAGAACACTAAATTATAGCAATAAACTGAAGACAAAATAAATTGTCTAATCTGTGTCCATTTTGTAAGACATTTTTCTTCATAGCAAGTTTTGATTAATGCACTGACTCTTTTGAGGAGCCATATATATTGAAGAAGGTAAGATCTGAAAGTAAAACAAGGCCCAAGTTTCAGCCCCAGAAATGTCTCGATTTTTAAATAAGTTATGACTGATACCATAGTGTATGCTTTTGCTTTTTAACTATTTCATAATAAATATATTCATATTTTAGATGTGGTACTTACTGAGGGACCACACTTGTGTTGCATCATATTAAGGTACTGGAATTATAGAACCATCTTCTTAAATTATTTCAAGCACCTTTATTCATAAAGCTGAATTTGATTATTTTTATTTTTATTTAACACACAGATATTCAGGAATACAATTTTCAAATGGCAAAAAAATTTAATTTGCACAGCTACGTGTTACTTATTAAAAGGGTTGAAGTCAGCTCAGTGACATCATAATTCAGCGAACTGTCATAACTGTTGTGTGGTTGACATATACTGTGCTTATTGTACTGTAATTGTGACAGCATTGGGGGATTATCATTTTGAGCTTCTTCTTGCTAAATTGCTATGTATAAGGTAGGGCCTTAAGGTTGCAAACCTTTTATTCCCTATATGCTAGTTTAGTGATCTTTACTGCAAGTATTATATCATCAAACATCTGAAGTTGCATATAATTCATCAGGAAGATATTTTATTATTTTCATCAAATAGTACCCCAATTTTGTAATGAAAAGTATGGTGCTTACCTCACAAGCGTTCACGCTACAGGCAGCCAGATAAAGATGCCCATGGGTTTAGTTTTGGCCTCTGGAAAAATGAAGAGTACGACAACTACCTGATACAGGACAGACAAAAAATTAACTGTTTTAAGGCTGTATTAAAAATGTTTGTGAATCCTCCAAATTTATGAATATACAACACAAATAACATAAAGGCTTGAAAACGTTTTTAACCAAGGCCTCATGCCCAGAAGAAAAGGAACAGGTAGTTTCGTTTCTTCACATACACTTTTTTCTTTATTTCCTTTTATGGGTTTTATAAACTTTATTCAAAGCATAAATCTGAGGAAATGTCAGAGCTGGCATTCTTCTCTGTAATTTGTGCAAAACTTTGATTTGCCCAGTTGTGGCTTCTTAGATTTATTGTTTTCTATTACTGGCAATGGCTTGCACACACACACACACACAATTTGTATCTCATTGTAAGGCTTATTAGGTAAACTTGATAAATTAGAAACCAACACATCAAAATCAAAATTAGAAATGTGCACTTGACTAGCCTCAATGTAATGAGTTAATTGATTCTAAATCAAATTTCAGCAAGATTATAAATTACTATATGCAATGAGTTTTCCAGATAACTCATATACTTGAAACTATAATTATTCCATTTTTTAATATCAAAGATTTACTGTCATTGAAAAATAGACTACAAGAATGACTACTCTCAACCTGTATGCCCAAAAACATGAAAAATCTATTTTACTTAAGGAAAAAAAAACCTTTGTGTTAGCTAATGTTGAATAGTTTTGCTAACTTAAAACTTTTTAACTTGCAAAACTAAACATTTTAAAGGTAAATTGTGATAAGTAAGTGTCTTTCTTTTTGTAGGCTCCTAATTTCCCTGACCAAATGCAACTAAAGTTATCTCAGACACAGTCTATGCCAATACCAACTGATATGTGAGTACAGGTGTATTACATATATACACACATACCCTCTATAGTTGTTTCTTTTTCCCTCATCTTAAGATCTCTAATTTCTATAGTTTTAATACATACATCCTCTTCTGTACCTTATTTTTTTTTAGATTTTTAAAAAATATATCTTGGAAATAATTTTATATTCATATTTTATTCTTTTCATCAGCCTCACTGTGTTTCATTGTACTGTCACATAGCTTTTTACACCAGTCCATATGTCATTAGGTATTGCTTTCTCTAGTCTTTCATTAATATAAAAATGCAGTAATGGGTATTTTTACTCATTTATTATAATGCACCTGACAGAGTAATTTTAATATAACTTCCTAAAAATTGAGTTGCAATGTCAAAGAATGGGTACATTGTTATTATTGATCACTATTATCAAATTTCCTTCCAAAGAGTTTCCCACATCTCTCTTTGTTGAGCAAAGCAAGAATGTCAAAGTCACACACTCCTGCTACACTGGTTTCAAATATTATCCCTTTCAATCGTACAGGGGGAAAATGTCCCCACATTATTATCATTTTGATTTACATTTCCTTAATTATGAGCGAGGTTGAGCATCTTTTCATAGGTTTTTGCAGTTAATTGACTGTTCATATACTTTATTTTACATTGTTTGCTGGTAGTTTTATTAATTTTTCAAGAACTTTTAATAGATTACAAAACTCCATCGTGCTTTTTGTTAAATCTAATGCCTTTTGTAAAACATATGATAAACATGTCCTTTGCTTACAATGTACATTACATACAGACATTAAAAAACTTAAGTGGTCAAATTTATTAATAATTCTGTAATATTTTCAAGGTTTGGAATAACACTTAGAACTTTGTACTCACAATTATTTTTTTAAATTAAACTTTTAAAAACATGTTTAAAGTTTTATATTTTTACAGTTAAATCTTTGATTCTTCTGGAATTTACAAATGATAACATATATCTTCCTATAATATTTTTTATTCTTAAGATTTATTAAACTTCTTGGATCTATAGATTTAAAATTTCCTTCAAAATCAGAAAATTTTGGCAATTATTTTTCCATTCTTTTTTTCTGTGTACTGTCCCCTCACTCTTTTCCTAGTCCTCCAATTGTATGATGTTAAACTGCCTGATATTTTGTCACAGGTCATAGATGTTCATTATTTTTCAGTCTTTTTTATCTCTGTACTCTCAGGAGCTCAGCTGAGCTGAAAGAAAGAAAGCTGAGCTACCAGGTGCTATAGTAGGCGATTAAAGCAACAAGCCAACAATAAAATAAAAACAAGATTTTAATCACTTATGCAGTGGTATAAGCAAGGGCCCAAAACTGGAGAAAGCACTGCCCCCGTTCCCTGCCTCCCCATTTCCCCCCAGGAACATAGAGAGTCTGCTGGGTCAGCATGTAGGTGGGGGTCATCTCACCATTGAGAGAGCCACAGACAAAAGGCTGGGGCAGTTCTGTGGACTCTGGGTGGCTTACAGGAAGGTGGGGGACAGGGCCAGGAGTAGAAAGTAAAGTTCTGGGTACTGATTCAGAGAGGAGGAAAAGCATCTTCAAGATTTCTCCCTTCTCTGCCTAGCCTCTTTTCCCAGTAAGAGGGAAATTCTAAATTCTACTTGAGCCTTTTGAATAATACCTTCCATTTCTCTCACCATATTTATGGTTTCTTCTGCTTTCTTAAACACAGAAAACACAGAATAGCTGCATAATGTGTAATAGCTGTTTAAATATCTGCCAGTCTATGTTTGACACTTCCATCATCTCTGACACTTCCATCATCTCTGTCCTTTCATGGTTGGCTTCTCTTTTTTTTTTTTTTTTTGGTGCCAGACAATCCTTTTATTGTTCACTGAAAAATGCAGGTCTGCAAAGAGTCAATTGCATTGTATATTGAATGCAAGGTCTGATATTGCAAGTATATGTGTCATAGTATAACATATAAAATATTACATATTTTACATAGTGACAGTACCCACCTCTTCTAAACACTAAAATGTAACAGATTAAAGTAAAAAGCCTCCTATTAAATGAGAAACAAACATTGCAATCATAAACAAAATGCTCTAAGCAAAGTACTTTAAAATTGTTTTGTGTGACGTCTATTTTGTCTACCTGGAGTTAGGAATGGTGGAGCCCAGAAAAAACTTAGCTAACAAAAACAGCCAACGCCCTTAAGGAACTCTTCCCAGGAAGCAGGCTGCTGATGCCCACCACAGGCTGCCACCCTGTCTGGTGGCCCAGCCAGGCTTCAGGACTGCCCAAGGGCCCACACTGAATGCTAATGCCTGTCTGGGGCTGCATTGAGGTGAGTGGGAGGAGTACTAGGCAGGAAGAAGCTCCTGTCACAACTGCTTATTCTGCATCCACTCTATGGATATGAACACCTAGTGTTTTTCTTGTGAATCTGCCACTCTCCACAAACACTGAAATGTGATTGAGAAGACAATGTTAACACTGTGAACAAAAGCCATTTTCTATGCAGTCTGCAGATATCATCATTAATTCCTTTCAGCCATGTTTTCATTAAGATGCTCTAAAAGAGTCTGCTGCTATTATACTGCCAGTTAGGCAGGCCAGGATAAAGGTAACAAAACTTCTCCAGTTATAACTACTAATTAAAATGAATTAAAAATAAATATAGCTTATACTAGAGAGCAACACAGTCTCTACTATTCACATGGTAATATATTCAGAAATTGCAACAATATTCACAATTCTCCAAGGTCGACTTTAACTATATCCACATTTCCTTCCAAGCAGAAAATCCTGAATGGAAGGGAGTGTATAACATCAATACCTCCTGTTCATCTCAATATTATCAGGGCTCAGACAGCTCATTATAGATAACAAATGCAAAAAAAAATTTAAAAAGCATCCCAATATATACTCAGCAACAGAGGAAGACTAGGCCCTCCCTCTGGGCTTCCTTGGCATAAGGCAAACCATGGCTATTTGCAACAACAGTGTCTAAGCTGACTCTGGAAAAGCTCATGATTTAGGAGAAATCAGAATTACAAAGTTCCTTCATTCACAGGTAACAAAGGATTATTAAAAATTTCTTGAACTAAGACAACAGTCTCACCATCAAAGAAAATTTTCTCTTCATCTGAGTTTTTATAAATGAGATTTTACGATACCCAGCTTTTTTAGTTAATATGAAACTATCAGCACACAGAGAACATCCTCAAAACTAAAGATGAGTAAAGCTAAAATTCTCAGATTTTCCATATGCTACAGATCAACAAATATTTTATCAGAATATCCATTTAACAGAGTTTTAAGTCCATAATAACCAACTATGTAATTTTCTTATTCAAAAAACACCAGGTTAAGAATAATCCCAGTTTGATGAATATCTTATTCCCCTTGATGGTGCACAGTAAATGTCACTGTTCAGTCTTTATATCTTTGACTCTTCCAGTCAAAGGAAAATCTTGTATAAAGCTGCAAAACTGCAAACTCCAGCAGAAGCTCTGGTGTTAGAGATGAAGTAAACTTTAGGGGAATAACCACAATTGCCTATCAGACTATGTACAGCATTGCTGGAAGCCTACTCTTTTTTTAACTCTATTATCTCTATTTTATCTCTAAACATTCTAATATTTTAAACATGGGGATTCACTGATATCAATAAAGGTCTAGTTCATGAGTAAGGTTTTGGTCTCTGGAATGATGTGTGGCTAGCCCAAAACACTGGCCATGTTTGTTTTAAACATGTTAGTTTTTCTTCCCACCACAATCTGTCAAACCCACCCATCTGTCCTGCCACTGCCACTCCCCTAGCCCCTCAGCATTTCTGCTCCTCTCTTTTGAATGTTCTGCTGCATGTATGGTATTCACTGAGACATCACTTTAACTGAGACATCACTTTAATATATAGGTCATTTGCATTTCACGCTATCAGCTCCCCCAAAGGACATCAACTGGGAACAATTCCTAATAGTAAAGGCATGACTTGCTGGCATTTTCCCTTTATAAAGGAAATCAAAGGGGTTGTCTGGAAGCAGAAAGAACACTTTGGGTATTCCTGTAAAGGGAATGCCATATCTGCTACCAAAACCCAGAAATATTGACTAGATCTAAAGAGCATATGAATTGTACAGTAGGGTGAGATTTGGCAGTTTAAGATCTATTTCCAATTTTACATTAAACCATTTATGTTGTGGGAAGTCAGGGACCCCAAACGGAGGGACTGGCTGAAACCATGGCAGAAGAACATGGATTGTGAAGATTTCATGGACATTTATTAGTTCCCCAAATTAATACTTTTATAATTTCTTATGTCTGTCTTTACTGCAATCTCTAAACATAAATTGTGAAGATTTCATGGACACTTATCACTTCCCCATTCAATACCCTTGTGATTTCCTAGGCCTGTCTTTACTTTAATCTCTTAATCCTGTCACCTTGTAAACTGAGGAGGATGTATGTTGCCTCAGGACCATGTGATAATTGCGTTAACTGCACAAATTGTAGAGCACATGTGTTTGAACAATATGAAATCTGGGCACCTTGAAAAAAGAACAGGATAACAGCAATTGTTCAGGGAATAAGAGAGATAACCTTAAACTCTGACCACCGGTGAGCTGGGCGGAACAGAGCCATATTTCTCTTCTTTCAAAAGCAAATGGGAGAAATATCGCTGAATTCTTTTTCTCAGCAAGGAACATCCCTGGGGAAGAGAATACACACCTGGGGGTAGGTCTATAGACAGACCCCCGGGTGTGGCCATCTTTTATGGTCTGTAGACTGCAGGGGTGAAATAGACCCCAGTCTCGCATAGCGCTCCCAGGCTTACTAGGAAGAAGAAATTCCCGCCTAATAAATTTTGGTCAGACTGGTTGCTCTCAAAATCCTGTCTCCTGATAAGATGTTATCAATGACAATGGTGCCCGAAACTTCATTAGCAATTTTAATTTCGCCCCAGTCCTGTGGTCCTGTGATCTCGCCCTGCCTCCATTTGCCTTGTGATATTCTATTACCTTGTGAAGTACTTGACGTCTGTGACCCACACCCTATTCGTACACTCCCTCCCCTTTTGAAACTCCCTAATAAAAACTTGCTGGTTTTGCAGCTTGGGGGAAATCACGGAACCTACCGACATGTAATGTCTCCCCTGGATGCCCAGCTTTAAAATTTCTCTCTTTTGTACTCTGTCCCTTTATTTCTCAAACCACCCAACGCTTAGGGAGAATAGAAAAGAACCTACGTGATTATCAGGGCAGGTTCCCCGATGCATTTAGGTGAAAGTGTTAATATCACGGGAGCAAATGCAAGTGTCAACAACACCCTTTTGGCTCATTTCCTCGTGCTTCTGTTTATACTTCCACCAGCTCCAGTGAAGCCTGTCCCAGGACACATCACTCAGCTTCCTGCACAGCTGCTCAGAGATAAAACAATGCACTTCACCTCAACTAGCCCAGTAACTGGCACTCAGGTGGTGAACACTGCAGCCAACGGCCTTGGGGCAGAGCCCATGGAAGGCTTTAAACAGGGGAAGGACTTACAGACATTGCATAAAAATTCTTGATTTTAGAATACCTTCCCCAGGAAGTCAGAAAACAATCATTTGTAGTTAATAAAATGTAATCTATACTCAAAAACAATGTAATGCCTCAGAAAGCAAAACCTGGAATGGAAGAACTTCAGAAAAATACAACTTAACCAGTATCTTACTTTGGCTAAATTATCATAGTCGGTCAGTGTAATTTATGATTGCATTTAGAAGCCCAGCCTACCGTGCTCTAAGACGGTACTAGTGAAGTACACGAAAACAGTTAACAGAGGCCATAGCCCTTTAGCCTTTAGTGACTTCAGAACTACAAAGATAAAAGTTAACCACAATTTGACATTCAGATACTTACTTGCTCAGTACAAATTGGATTAGGAGACAGTTAAACACCAGATTGTCATTCACTTATTGTGTTCTCAGGGAACTCCTATTTGGATAACAAACCAGTGGTTCTCTGCCTGGCTGCATATCAGAATCACCTGGGAAGCTTTTAAAACTCACCATGTGCCCAGGCCAATTAACTCTGGAGAGTGGAGCCCAGAATCAGTAGGATTTATATTGCCCCGGGTGATTCCCGTGCAGCCAGGACGCACAAGACTGAGGCATCCCTTTCGGAGAGCGGTTGTGTGAAAGCCAAGTGAAAGGAACACGTATCTGGATAGTTTTGTTTTTTTTCTCAATTCCACCTGAAAAAAGGGATTTTTTAGAAAGAGGCACAGTTGTGCTTCCTCTAAAAGATGTAGTCTGCAGTTTGGGAAGTGCTGATTCCCACAGGTTATCTGGAGCGCTGGTTGTAAAGAAGAAAGTCCTTGTCTTGGCAGATTAGGCAGAGTTTGAGGCTTCGGCAGCTGCCTCCTGCAACAAAGAATACCCAGATGCCCATGAGCACCAGGATTATAAATGCCGACAGCAGGTTTATTCCATAATGAGGACTTACGAAGGTGCAGGCTGACACCAGCAGACGGGTCAGGAGAACTATAAGAAGGATGTACCACCTTTTCTTCTCGCAGCCATCAAAAAATACAATGTCCCAGAACACGTGCAGCAAGATGATGACCAGCGTGCAACGGCTCGGTGGTGATGGTGAAGACTTAGAGGGCGAGCGCAGGCCAGAAGGCAGTGAAGGCGCAGCTGAAGAACACGGCCACCGTCATGGAGACCGCAGAAGCCGACCAGGGGGCCCGTAGGAGACGCCGGAAGCTCTGGTTGGTTTCCATTACTAATTTCTCTCCTAATTATGGAATATATTTTCTTGCTTGTCTACCTGGTGTTTTTTTATTGGATGCCAGATATTGTTATTTTTACATGGTTAATTGTTGGATTTTGTTGTATTTCTTAAGATAGTTTTGGGTTTTGTTTTGGTAGGCATTTAATTAAAATAGGTAAAAACATTTCGAGGCTTGCTTTAAATCTTCAGAGGGCAGGTCCAGAGCAGCCATTATTCTAGGGGTTAATTTGGCCCCACTCCTAACGTGATGCCGGGCTGAAGATTCTACCCAATGCCCATGTATTAGAAGGTCTTTCTACCACGGAGCACAAACTATGCCTAGGTCTGTGTGGGCTGATTAGTATTTAGCCAAATATTCAGAAAGACCTCTGCAAATATCCACAGCTCTGTTGCAATAATTTCCCGCCAGTACTGTACCCTGTAAAATCCAGCTCTCTTAGACTCCCAGGACTGTAATGTCTGTCTCCTTAATTCAGGGAGACTGCAGCCACCTGTTTAAATTTTTTCTTCCTTGCACTGCAGCCTAGATACTGACTCTAGGCAGAAAGCTGGTAAAATTACAAGGCTCATTTTATTTCTCTTATTGTAGGAATCACATTCCTGTGTATCGCTTGTTGTCCAGGCAGTTAAACTACTTCATATATTTTGTCTGGTTTTCTAGTTATTTGAAGTGTGTATTAGTTTCTGTTCCTGTGCAGTAAGTTACCACAAAGTTAGTAGCTTAAAACAACACATACTTGTATTATCTCACAGTTTCTATGGGCCAAGAGTCCAGATATGGCATAATAGGGTTCTGTGGTTAAGGTCTCATAAGCTTGAAGTCAAGGTGTTGGCAGAACTGAGTTCTCTTCTGGAACTGGGTGTCTTCTTCCAAGCTCATGTGGTTGTTGATGGAATTCAATTCCTTGCAGCTGTAGGGCTGAGATCCCCATTTTCTTCCATCTCTCATCCAATGGCTGCTCTCAGCTCCTACAAGTAACCTGCAGTTTCTTGCTATGAGTTCCTCTTGCAACACTACTTGTAGGGCAACTTTATAAAGTCAAGCCCAGCCATGACAATCTCCTTTTTGATTGACTCAGACTCAACTGATTTGGAACCTTAACTCTATCTGTAAAATCCTTTTATCTTTCCCATGTTCTATTCACTTGAAGCAGATCACAGGTCCAGTATGGACTCAAGGGGAGGAAAATTATATGATTTATTGGGAGTGAACCTAGGGTGTGTCCATCACAAGACAACAGAGTAAATCTGGTCTTTATTACTTCCTTTTAGTCAAAAGTAGAATCTTCCTCTCTAATTTTAATTGTTTCATCTTTTCAAGTTGTACCTGCAAGTACAGCCATAAGAATATTGAATATTACACATTCTTCTCTTGTTGCCAATTGTAAGAAAAATGTTTCCAATATTTTAATCACTAAATATTTGCCATGATGTATTAAGAAATTATCTATAGATTTACATGTTATGAAGAATGCAAATCATATTGAATGTTAGGAAAGTCCTTGCATATTATGAATTTTCTCTATTGGTCTATTAGTAAATTGAATTGTTAACATTGAACCACATTTGCATCTCAACAATTAACCTCGCTTGATTATATTACATGGGACTTTTTTTTCTGGTATTTCAATTAGCATTGTTTTCATTAACAGATATAAATGAAATTACCGTAGTTTTTGTTTTATTCTATTTTTGTGATGTTTATATAATATATATATATATTTCATTAAAATAATCTGGAAGTTTTTCTTCTTTTTATGATTTGGGATGGTTTAAACAGCCTAGAAATTTTTTTTCCTTTAATATTTTATACAATTCATCATGCCTGGCATTTTGAGGGAAATTGCAATTATTTGATTATGTTCTCAATTCCTTTTATAATAACTAGTTGGATTAGAATTTCTAACTCTTCTGAAGTTAGTTTCAATATTTTGCTAGAAAATCATTCTACTTGTTTTGAAATATATATATATATTTTTATCATACTTTAGTTTTAGGGTACGTGTGCACAATGTGCAGGTTTGTTGCACATGTATACATGTGCCATGTTGGTGTGCTGCACCCATTAACTCGTCATTTAGCATTAGGTTTCTCTCCTAATGCTATCCCTCCCACCTCCCCCACCCCACAACAGGCCCCGGTGTGTGATGTTCCCCTTCCTGTGTCCATGTGTTCTCATTGTTCAATTCCCACCTATGAGTGAGAACATGCGGTGTTTGGCTTTTTGTCCTTGCGATAGTTTGCTGAGAATGATGGTTTCCAGCTTCACCCATGTCCCTACAAAGGACATGAACTCATCATTTTTTATGGCTGCATAGTATTCCATGGTGTATATGTGCCACATTTTCTTAATCCAGTCTATCATTGTTGGACATTTGGCTTGGTTCCAAGTCTTTGCTATTATGAATAGTGCAGCGATAAACATACATGTGCATGTGTCTTTATAGCAGCATGATTTATAATCCTTTGGGTATATACCCAGTAATGGGATGGCTGGATCAAATGGTATTTCTAGTTCTAGATCCCTGAGGAACCGCCACACTGACTTCCACAATGGTTGAACTAGTTTACAGTCCCACCAACAGTGTAAAAGTGTTCCTATTTCTCCACATCCTCTCCAGCACCTGTTGTTTCCTGACTTTTTAATGATTGCCATTCTAACTGGTGTGAGATGGTATCTCATTGTGGTTTTGATTTGTATTTCTCTGATGACCAGTGATGATGAGCATTTTTTCATGTGTTTTTTGGCTGCATAAATGTCTTCTTTTGAGAAGTGTCTGTTCATATCCTTCGCCCACTTTTCGATGGGGTTGTTTGTTTTTTTCTTGTAAATTTGTTTGAGTTCATTGTAGATTCTGGATATTAGCCCTTTGTCAGATGAGTAGATTGCAAAAATTTTCTCCCATTCTGTAGGTTGCCTGTTCACTCTGATGGTAGTTTCTTTTGCTGTGCAGAAGCTCTTTAGTTTAATTAGATCCCATTTGTCAATTTTGGCTTTTGTTGCCATTGCTTTTGGTGTTTTAGACATGAAGTCCTTGCCCATGCCTATGTCCTGAATGGTATTGCCTAGGTTTTCTTCTAGGGTTTTTATCATTTCAGGTCTAACATTTAAGTCTTTAATCCGTCTTGAATTAATTTTTGTATCAGGTGTAAGGAAGGGATCCAGTTTCAGCTTTCTACATATGGCTAGCCAGTTTTCCCAGCACCATTTATTAAATAGGGAATCCTTTCCCCATTTCTTCTTTTTGTCAGGTTTGTCAAAGATCAGATGGTTGTAGATATGCGGCATTATTTCTGAGGACTCTGTTCTGTTCCATTGGTCTATATCTCTGTTTTGGTACCAGTACCATGCTGTTTTGGTTACTGTAGCCTTGCAGTATAGTTTGAAGTCAGGTAGCGTGATGCCTCCAGCTTTGTTCTTTTGGCTAATGATTGACTTGGCAATGTGGGCTCTTTTTTGTTCCATATGAACTTTAAAGTAGTTTTTTCCCATTCTGTGAAGAAAGTCATTGGTAGCTTGATGGGGATGGCATTGAATCTATAAATTACCTTGGGCACTGTGTCCATTTTCACAATATTGATTCTTCCTACCCACGAGCATGGAATGTTCTTCCATTTGTTTGTGTCCTCTTTTATTTCATTGAGCAGTGCTTTGTAGTTCTCCTTGAAGAGGTCTTTCACATCCCTTGTAAGTTGGATTCCTAGGTATTTTATTCTCTTTGAAGCAATTGTGAATGGGAATTCGTTCATGATTTGGCTCTCTGTTTGTCTGTTATTTGTGTATAAGAATGCTTGTGATTTTTGCACATTGATTTTGTATCCTGAGACTTTGCTGAAGTTGCCTATCAGCTTAAGGAGATTTTGGGCTGAGATGATGGGGTTTTCTAGATATACAATCATGTCATCTGCAAACAGGGACAATTAGACTTTCTCTTTTCCTAATTGAATACCCTTTATTTCCTTCTCCTGCCTGATTGCCCTGGCCAGAACTTCCAACACTATGTTGAATAGGAGTGGTGAGAGAGGGCATCCCTGTCTTGTGCCAGTTTTCAAAGGGAATGCTTCCAGTTTTTGCCCATTCAGTATGATATTGGCTGTGGGTTTGTCATAGATAGCTCTTATTATTTTGAGATATGTCCCATCAATACCTAATTTATTGAGAGTTTTTAGCATGAAGTGTTGTTGAATTTTGTCAAAGGGCTTTTCTGCATCTATTGAGATAATCATGTGGTTTTTGTCGTTGGTTCTGTTTATATGCTGGATTATGTTTACTGATTTGCATATGTTGAACAAGCCATGCATCCCAGGGATGAAGCCCACTTGATCATGGTGGATAAGCTTTTTGATGTGCTGCCGGATTTGTTTTGCCAGTATTTTATTGAGGATTTTTGCATTGAT
Source organism: Homo sapiens (assembly GCF_000001405.40). Classification (NCBI taxonomy): domain Eukaryota; kingdom Metazoa; phylum Chordata; class Mammalia; order Primates; family Hominidae; genus Homo; species Homo sapiens. Next base: position 82,652,563 of record NC_000007.14, on the reverse strand, counting down.
GTTCATCAGGGATATTGGTCTAAAATTCTCTTTTTTTGTCGTGTCACTGGCAGGCTTTGGTATGAGAATGATGCTGGCCTCATAAAATGAGTTAGGTAGGATTCCCTCTTTTTCTATTGATTGGAAGAGTTTCAGAAGGAATGGTACCAGCTCCTCCTTGTACCTCTGGCAGAATTCGGCTGTGAATCCATCTGGTCCTGGACTTTTTTTTGGTTGGTAAGCTATTAATTATTGCCTCAATATCAGAGCCTGTAATTGGTCTATTCAGAGATTCAACTTCTTCCTGCTTTAGTCTTGGGAGAGTGTATGTGTTGAGGAATTTATCCATTTCTCCTAGATTTTCTAATTTATTTGCGTAGAGGTGTTTATAGTATTCTCTGATGGTAGTGTGTATTTCTGTGGGATCGGTGGTGATATCCCCTTTATAATTTTTTATTGCTTCTATTTGATTCTTCTCTCTTTTCTTCTTTATTAGTCTTGCTAAGAGTACAGCACACTGATGGGTCTTGACTCTTTATCCAATTTGCCAGTCTGTGTCTTTTAATTGGAGCATTTAACCCATTTAAGGTTAATATTGTTATGTGTGAATTTGATCCTGTCATTATGATGTTAGCTGGTTATTTTGCTCTTTAGTTGATGCAGTTTCTTCCTAGCCTCGATGGTCTTTACATTTTGGCATGTTTTTGCAGTGGCTGGTACTGGTTATTCCTTTCCATGTTTAGTGCTTCCTTCAGGAGCTCTTTTAGGGCAGGCCTGGTGGTGACAAAATCTCTCAGCATTTGCTTGTCTGTAAAGTATTTTATTTCTCCTTCACTTATGAAGCTTAGTTTGGCTGGATATGAAATTCTGGGTTGAAAATTCTTTTCTTTAAGAATATTGAATATTGGCCCCCACTCTCTTCTGGCTTGTAGAGTTTCTGCTGAGAGATCAGCTGTTAGTCTGATGGGCTTCCCTTTGTGGGTAACCCGACCTTTCTCTCTGGCTGCTCTTAACAGTTTTTCCTTCATTTCAACCTTGGTGAATCTGATAATTATGTGTCTTGGAGTTGCTCTTCTCAAGGAGTATCTTTGTGGCATTCTCTGTATTTCCTGAATTTGAATGTTGGCCTGCCTTGCTAGATTGGGGAAGTTCTCCTGGATAATATCCTGCAGAGTGTTTTCCAACTTGGTTCCATTCTCCCCGTCACTTTAAGGTACACCAATCAGACGTAGATTTGGTCTTTTCACATAATCCCATATTTCTTGGAGGCTTTGTTCATTTCTTTTTATTCTTTTTTCTCTAAACTTCTCTTCTCACTTCATTTCATTCATTTGATCTTCCACCACTGATACCCTTTCTTCCAGTTGATCGAATCAGCTACTGAGGCTTGTGCATTTGTCATGTAGTTCTCGTGCCGTGGTTTTCAGCTCCATCAGGTCCTTTAAGGACTTCTCTGCATTGGTTATTTTAGTTAGCCATTAGTCTAATCTTTTTTCAAGGTTTTTAAGTTCTTTTCCATGGGTTCGAACTTCCTCCTTTAGCTCAGAGTAATTTGATCATCTGAAGCCTTCTTCTCTCAACTAGTCAAAGTCATTCTCCATCCAGCTTTGTTGCGTTGCTGGTGAGGAGCTGTGTTCCTTTGGAGGAAGAGAGGTGCTCGATTTTTAGAGTTTCCAGTTTTTCTGCTCTGTTTTTTCCCCATCTTTGTGGTTTTATCTACCTTTAGTCTTTGATGATGGTGACCTACAGATGGGGTTTTGGTGTGGATGTCCTATCTGTTTGTTAGTTTTCCTTCTAACAGTCAAGACCCTCAGCTGCAGGTTTGTTGGAGTTTGCCAGAGGTCCACTCCAGACCCTCTTTGCCTGGGTATCAGCAGCGGAGGCTGCAGAACAGTGAATATTGGTGAACAGCAAATGTTGCTGCCTGATCGTTCCTCTGGAAGTTTCATCTCAGAGGAGTACCCAGCCATGTGAGGTGTCAGTCTGCCCCTACTGGGGGGGTGCCTCCCAGTTAGGCTACTTGGGGGTCAGGGACCCACTTGAGGAGGCAGTCTGTCCATTCTCAGATCTCCAGCTGCGTGCTAGGAGAACCACTACTCTTTTCAAAGTTGTCAGACAGGGACATTTAAGTCTGCAGAGGTTTCCACTGCCTTTTGTTTGGCTATGCCCTGCCCCCAGAGGTGGAGTCTACAGAGGCAGGCAGGCCTCCTTGAGCTGCGGTGGGCTCCACCCAGTTCCAGCTTCCCGGCCCCTTTGTTTACCTACTCAAGCCTCGGCAATGGCTGGCGCCCCTCCTCCAGCCTCGCTGCTGCCTTGCAGTTTGAACTCAGACTGCTATGCTAGGAAAGTGCGAGGCTCCGTGGGTGTAGGACCCTCTGAGCCAGGCGCAGGATATAATCTCCTGGTGTGCCGTTTGCTAAGACTGTTGGAAAAGTGAAGTATTAGGGTGGGAGTGACCCGATTTTCCAGGTGCCATCTGTCACCCCTTTCTTTGACTAGGAAAGGGAATTCCCTGACCCCTTGCACTTCCCAGGTGGGAGGATACCTCATCCTGCTTCGGCTCATGCTTGGTGCGCTGCACCCACTATCCTGCACCCACTGTCCAAGACTCCCCAGTGAGATGAACCTGGTACCTCAGTTGGAATTGCAGAAATCACCCGTCTTTTCCTCACTCACGCTGGGAGCTGTAGACTGGAGCTGTTCCTATTTGGCCATCTTGGCTCCACCCCCCACCCAAATATATTTTTATAGATTTTAGAAACCAAGCTTTCGTAGTTCAATTTCCACTGTACTGTTTATCTCCCATTTTGTATCTTATTTTGTGTATTTCTATTCCTTTATTTTTACATAGGTTTTCAAATAATTTCTTTTACTATTCATTCACGAAAAGAAAGTTCTTTTGGTTTGTTTAATAGTTGGTTCAATGATCTAATTTTTTTTTCTTTACTGATTCCATCCTTTTCTTACTTTAAGCAATGTTCACTTTATTTTCTTTCTAGAGTTGAATATTTTCTTAATTTATCTAGTATTTTTTCATTAGTTAAGTGACATTTAGCCTATATCTTTTCTTCTATGCTCTACTTTTACTGTATCACTATATCTCATAATTTCATATATGCAGGGATTATTTTTTTCTAAAAAATTTGTGATTTCAGATGTTATTGCCTCTTTGACACAATATTATGGAGATAGTTATTAATATTAATATTTTCATGTTAAAAGGGCAGAAATTTTCTGTTAGTTTTTATATTTTCTTTTTAAAATTCCTAGTTTCATATCAAACATGATAAAAGATGTTATCTTTACAATTTGTAGGTCTTCTAATAATATATTGATGTTCATATTATGGCCAAATACAGGATCAATATATATATATAAATGTTCTATCAGCTCTTGCAAACAGAGACATTTTTATGCATGCAAAGTTCTTTCACTCAAGTTTAGTTTTTGAAAACTACAAATATGTTCAATGTGATGCATAGAAGTTTTTAAATATAGATTTTCATATATGTAAGTTCAGGAATTATGGTCCACTGTTATGTCTTTAGACCTTGATGTAGCCTATATTATACACTCAAAAACAGCACAAGTTCATATTCCCTTATTCACAACATTAATATTCAAGGGAGGTCTGAAAACTGAAACTGTTTTCTTTATTCATCCAGCTGCAAACCTTGACCAGAAAAAAAGGGAGAAAGACTGTTTAGTTTTTATTTATAGTACTTATTTTAAGTCTTAACATTTCACTTAAGAAATGTTAACATGCTTGATTATGGAATGCTGCTCCAGGCCCCTTTGAGGTGTTAGGTAATACTAGGTATCATCAATATTCTATCTTTTCAAAATCCAAACTATATTATGTTCTAAAATACATCTGGCCCCCAGCATATTTGATAAGAGATTGTGAATTGTCTTCACTTTTGTCCAGACATTTCTTCCTAGAAAAAAATGCATATGATATTTTGGTTTCTTATCTTTAATAGCAGTAAGACTAAGTTATAATCTTATTTAGTCTATTAGTTTTTTTTTCATTATACTTTAAGTTCTGGGGTACATGTGCAGAGCATGCAGATTTGTTACATAGGTATACCCATGCCATGGTGGTTTGCTGCACCCATCAACTCGTCATCTACATTAGGTATTTCTCCTAGTGCTATCCCTCCCCTAGCCAGCCACCTCCTGGTAGGCCCCAGTGTGTGATGTTCCCCTCCCTGTGTCCATGTATTCTCATTGTTCAGCTCCCACTTATGAGTGAGAACATGCGATGTTTGGTTTTCTATTCTTGTGTTAGTTTGCTGAGAATGGTGGTTTCCAGCGTCATCCATGTCCCTGCAAAGGACATGAACTCATCCTTTTTTATAGCTACATAGTATTCCATGGTGTATGTGTGCCACATTTTCTTTATCCAGTCTATCATTGATGGGCATTTGGGTTGGTTGCAAGTCTTTGCTGTTGTGAACAGTGCCGCAATAAACATACGTGTGCATGTGTCTTTATAGTAGAATGATTTATAATCCTTTGAATATATACCCAGGATTGGGATGGCTGAGTCAAATGGTGTTTCTAGTTCTAGATCCTTGAGGAATCACCACACTGTCTTCCACAATGGGTAAACTAATTTACACTCCCATCAACAGTGTAAAAGCATTCTTATTTCTCCACACCCTATCCAGCATCTGTTGTTTCCTGCACATTTTAATGATTGCCATTCTAACTGGCATGAAATGTTATCTCATTGTCGTTTTGATTTGCATTTCACTAATGACCAATGATGATGAGCTTTTTTCCATATATTTGTTGGCTGCATAAATGTCTTCTTTTGAGAAGTGTATGTTCATATCCTTCATCCACTTTTTGATGGGGTTGTATTTTTTTCTTGTAAATTTAAGTTCCTTGAAGATTCTGGATATTAGCCCTTTGTCAGATGGATAGATTGCAACAATTTTCTGCCATTCTGTAGGTTGCTGGTTCACTTTGATGATAGTTTCTTTTGCTGTGTAGAAGCTCTTTAGTTTAATTAGATATGGTTTGTCTATTTTGGCTTTTGTTGCCATTGCTTTTGGTGTTTTAGTCATGAAGTCTTTGCCCATGTCTGTGTCCTGAATGGTATTGCCTAGGTTTTCTTCTAGGATTTTTATGGTTTTAGTTCTTACATTTAAGTCTTTAATCCATCTTGAGTTAATTTTTGTATAAGGTGTAAGGAAGGGATCCAGTGCCAGCTTTCTGCATATGACTAGACAAAACCATTTATTAAATAGGGAATCCTTGCCCCATTGCTTGTTTTTGTCAGATTTATCGAAGATCAGGTGGTTGTAGATGTATGGCATTATTTCTGAGGCTTCTGTTCTGTTCCATTGGCTTATATATCTTTTTTGGTACTGGTACCATGCTGTATTTGTTACTGTAGGCTTGTAGTATAGTTTGAAGTCAGGTAGCATGATGCCTCCAGCTTTGCTCTTTCTGCTTAGGATTGTCTTGGCTATATGGGCTCTTTTTTGGTTCCATATGAAATTTAAAGTAGTTTTTTCTAATTCTGTGAAGAGAGTCAGCAGTAGCTTGATGGTGATAGCATTGAATCTGTAAATTACTATGGGCACTATGTCGATTTTCACGATATTGATTCTTCCTATCCATGAGCATGGAATGTTTTACCATTTGGTCCTCTCTTATTTCCTAGAGCAGTGGTTTGTAGTTCTCCTTGAGGAGGTTCTTCACGTTCCTTGTAAGTTGTATTCCTAGGTATTTTATTATCTTTATAGCAATTGTGAATGGGAGTTCATTCATGATTTGGCTCTGTTTGTCCATTATTGGTGTATAGGAACGTTTGTGATTTTTGCACATTGATTTTGTATTCTGAGACTTTGCTGAAGTTTCTTATCAGCTCAAGGAGATTTGGGGCCGACACAATAAGGTTTTCTAAATCTACAACCATGTCATCTGCAAACAGAAACAATTTGACTCCCTCTTTTTCTATTTGAATACACTTTATTGCTTTCTCTTGCCTCATTGCCCTGGCCTGAACTTCTACTACTATGTTGAATAGGAGTGGTGAGAGAGGGCATCCTTGTCTTGTGCTGGTTTTCAAAGGGAATGCTTCCAGCTTTTGCCCATTCAGTATGATATTGGCTGTGGGTTTGTCATAAATAGCTCTTATTATTTTGAAATATGTTCCATCAGTACCTAGTTTATTGAGAGTTTTTAACATGAAGGTTTGTTGAATTTTGTCACAGGCCTTTTCTGCATCTATTGAGATAATCATGTGATTTTTGTCATTGGTTCTGTTTATGTGATGGATTATGTTTATTGATTTGCATATGTTGAACCAGACTTGCATCCCTGGGATGAAGCAGACTTGATCACAGTGGATAAGCTTTTTGATGTGCTGCTGGATTCAGTTTGTCAGTATTCTATTTAGGATTTTTGCATCGATGTTCATCAGTGATATTGGCCTGAAATTTTCTTTTTTTGTTGTGTCTGCAAGGTTTTGGTGTTAGGATGATACTGGCCTCATAAAATGGTTAGAGCGGATTCCCTCTTTTTTTCTATTGTTTGGAATAGTTTCAGAAGGAATGGTGTGTCTGGAATTTGTTCCTTCCAGTGGGTTCTTGGTCTCGCTGACTTCAAGAATGAAGCCGCGGACCCTCACGGTGAGTGTTACAGTTCTTAAAGATGGTGTGTCCGGAATTTATTCCTTCTGGTGGGTTTGTGGTCTCACTTGACTTCAGGAGTGAAGCCGCAGACCTTCGCAGTGAGTGTTAAAGCTCTTAAAGGTGGCGCATCTGGAGTTGTTTGTTCCTCCCAGTGGGTTCGTGGTCTCACTGACTTCAGGAGTGAAGCCGCAGACCTTCGCAGTGAGTGTTCAGCTCATAAAGGTAGTGCGGACCCAAAGAGTGAGCAGCAGCAAGATTTATTGTGAAGAGCAAAAGAACAAAGCTTCCACAGCATGGAAGGGGACCCGAGCGGGTTGCCACTGCTGGCTCAGGTGGCCAGCTTTTATTCCCTTATTTGGCCGCACTCACATTCTGCTGATTGGTCCATTTTAGAGAGTGCTGATTGCTCCATTTTACAGAGTGCTGATTGGTCCATTTTTACAGAGTGCTGATTGGTGCATTTACAAACCTTTATCTAGACACAGAGTGCTGATTGGTGCATTTTTACAGAGTGCTGATTGGTGCGTTTACAATTCTTTAGCTAGACAGAAAAGTTCTCCAAGTCCCCACTTGACCCAGGAAGTCCAACTGGCTTCACCTCTCGGTCTCCCCTCTAAAGAGGACACCCCAACTGCTGTTAGGAATTAGGCAATGACAGCTCTAGCTACTTCCTGCTGGATAGGGGCAAAGAAGGAGCCCTGCAGTTGTAGTGTCCTCCAGAGGGGAATTCTTCAGGCCAGTGAAAGGGTCAGCAGGTTAGTCCAGGGGTCCTCAGTAGAAGTTGTTAGTTGAGCTCATTTGGGGTTCCATTTGTGAAGACCATCTGTAGCTCGATGGCCTCGATCCAGAGGAAACAAATTTGAAAAGGAGATTAAAAATACAGGGCTCAAAGGCAAATAATAGCAAGATGGCTGTCACGGGACCTAGAAAGGGGAGAAGCCATGTTGCCCAACTCCAGAGTTTGGTATAGAGTTTGAAAGGCATTGTCTGACTTCAGAAGCCTTTTCCTGTAAACTCCGAGTGGCATCTCATACTGTCCCTGACTGGTTAGTGTAAAAACACTCTTCCCCTAAGAAAATGCAGAGTCCTCCTTTCTTGGCAGTGAGGAGGTCTAGGCCTCAGCCGTTTTGGAGGGTCACTGCTGCCAAGGAGTCTATTTGGGATTGTAGAGTAAGGATAGATTTCGTTATTTCTTGCAAACTGTCTGAGAAATCATTTGAGAGTGTGTGGTAGTAGGATAATGAAGTAAACAAACTAGCTATTCTGGTTCCTGTAGCAGTAGCCATTCCTAACCCTATAAGTAGGGGTATTAGTTGTATGGCTCTGCACTGACAGACTTGAGCTTTGAGGGATACTGATATGGTCTGATTTCCTGGGGCAATGTTACTGTTGGGACTTAGAAAGACTAAGATTCAGGTGGCTGTCTAGTTAGTGGGGAGGCAGATATAGGTCGATGTTCCACATACAAAGAATATACCTTGGCTGGGTGGGCAGACCTGATTGTGTATGTTAAAATGGTGTGTGAGTTTGTTGTTTTCATTTTCCCATACTCCTAGAGTACTTGCCAAGGTAGCTCTGGTGAGTGGCTGGAAAGGGGTGTTGGGAGCAAACTGAGTGGCTCCCTGTGTTCTATTTTCCTATTGGAGAAAAAACTGTTTTGTATCTACTAGGAACCATTCGAGAGAGTGATTGAAAGAGGGGATGAGAAGGCATTCACTAGTGGTGGGGGCGCTGCTGCAGGGGGTCCAGGAGTGAATGGTCATGCAGGGAGTATGTTTGCCATTACAAAACCTGGACTGTTTGTTAAGCAGGGAGGAGGTGATGATTTTTGGAGGCCCTGAGAAGCAGACAGGCCATCTGAATCGAGCTGTTTGAATGACTTGGAAGTTACTGTGATCAGTTGGGGCTTGAAGTTGTAGGGTGTAATTACACTGATGCGGTGGTAGGTGCCCCAGGGGCAGGCCTGATAACAGGTTGCATTGGATGCATTAAGGGACTTGGAAAGTTAAGATAGTATTCGTAGTTACAGGGCCATGTATGGGCTTTTCATTGCTTGTGTAATAGGTGAGGTTGGAAATGTAAGAACATAAAAGTTGGATTGCATGTCCTGTTAGGGTATTCTTGGTCCTATCAGAGATGGGGAACTTGGCTAATGACTGAATATTTAGAAGTCCGGAAAGGGTCTTTTCCTTCTTAACAAGGGTGGTAGGTTAAGTTGGTAAAGACCCAGTTTTTTGTGGGAATGGGAGTGGCAACGTAAGCAGAAGTTGATAGAGAGATACAAAGCCAACAGTCATTTTCCAGGGAAGGATTGGACTGGCTTAGCAGAGAGTGGGTTAAGTTGAGAGTCTTGTAGAGGTAATTAGGAGGTAGTGGAAGGGGAGGGGCAATTGTATGAGGTATCCAAGGAAGTAGGAGGGATAGATAGGCAAAGAGTAAATAGGAAGGTAAAGAGGGTGTTCTGGAAGACGAGATCATTTTATCCAGTCTGAGTTAAAGGTAAGAGTAAATTGCTGTCAGAAGGAAGGAAGATAAAAAGAAGGTTGATGTGGTTAGGATTTTTGTCCCAGCAGGAGCCAGTATATAGTCCTATGGCAAAGAGTATGGTTAGTATGCTGCTTAATAATATGATGAAATGTAGAAGGATTCCATTAAAGAGGCAAGGAGAGGTGTTAAAGATAAAGATTATGTAGGTTTTCACTTATCTTTTTTAAGGAGGAAGGGGTTTTTCTTCAGGATCAGTGGTAGGAACCTTTTTTGTCTGGGATGTTTCCTTCCAATATAGGAGGTGCAAGTCCTCCAACGGTTCGCAGGTGTATCGAGGCTGGTCTGGCTGATCTTGGGACCCCTGAGCTGATGGTACCAGAGGTTCCTCAGGGGGTGTCCAAAATTTAACTTGGGTGTGGTGAATCCAAGATTCCACTCCTGCCACCTTAACTGCAGTGGGGATAGAGAGGATTACCGAATATGGTCCTTCCCACAAAGAGTTCATAGATGGGGAGGTAGAGGGGAGAAATTTGACCAACACTAGATCTCCTGGTTGAAACAACTCTGTTCCCTTTTCTCTGTGACATCCTTCAGGTAGGTTTTTAAGGTTTTTTTGATATTTTGCCAAAAAAGTTATATCTTTGACCAAGTTGGCCATTTCCTGATCAAGTGGGAGGTCATTTGTAAGAAAAGGTCGTCCATATAGCATTTCATATGGACTGAGCCCCATTTTGTGAGGAGAATTTCAGATTCTCAACAAGGCCATGGGCAAAAAAGTAGGCCATGGAAGTTGAGTTTCTTGTGTTAGTTTCCTTAAATACCTCTTGAGTGTTTCATTTGCCTTCTCCACCTTCCCTGAGGACTGTGGCCTCCAGGTGCAGTGATATTGTATTCCTGGCACCCTGGAAATTCCCTGAGTTATCATGGCTTTTTTTTTTTTTTTTTTTTTTTTTGAGACGGAGTCTCGCTCTGTCGCCCAGGCTGGAGTGCAGTGGCGGGATCTCGGCTCACTGCAAGCTCCGCCTCCTGGGTTCACGCCATTCTCCTGCCTCAGCCTCCCAAGTAGCTGGGACTACAGGCGCCCGCCACTACGCCCGGCTAATTTTTTGTATTTTTAGTAGAGACGGGGTTTCACCGTTTTAGCCGGGATGGTCTCGATCTCCTGACCTCGTGATCCGCCCGCCTCGGCCTCCCAAAGTGCTGGGATTACAGGCGTGAGCCACCGCGCCCGGCCTATCATGGCTTTAAAAGCTGAACCATTGTCACTCTGCAAGCTTTGAGGAAGCCTGAATCTAGGAGTTATTTCATGAATTAGGACTTTAATCACTTCCTGAGCCTTCTCTGTCTTGCAGGGGACAGCTTCTATCCAATTTGTAAAGGTAGCAATGCAGACCAACAAGTATTGAAATCCCTTTGACTTAGGCATATGGGTGAAGTCTAACTGCCAGTCCCCTCCAGGATAGTGACCTATTCTTTGTTCCCCCAAAGGGGCCTTACAATGGACCAAGGGATTATTCCTTTGGCACACCTCACAGGCTTTGACTACTTGTCAGATGATCCAGAGGAGATTTGGCCCTGTACATAGGGATTTGGCCATTTGATGAGTGTTTTCAATACCCATATGAAAAGTTTGGTGGAGGATTTTAAGTATTTTCCACTGGCTGGCTTTGGGCATAAGTACCTTTCTTTTTCTGTCATTAACCACCCTGAGAGGAGAAAACTATGCCCCCATGAAAGTCCCCACTCTGTTTCAGTTGGGGAATACTGGGGCTTAATCTCTTGGAGGGGTTGTTCCATACCAAGGGTCCTTCCACAGGTATTTCTAATGGGAGGTTCAGCCTGGCAGCAATTTTGGCCTCAGCATCTGCCCAACAGTTTCCTTCTGCCTTTTCTCCTTCACCTTTCTGATGGCTTTAGCAGTGTAAGACTGCCATCTCCTTGGGTTTTTGCACTGCATGCAATAACTCCATAATTTCCTTGTAGTATTTAATGGGGGTTCCCCCAGAGGTTAGGAACTCCCTTTCTTTCCATATTGCAGCATGGGCATGTAGGATTAGATAAGCATACTTGCTATCTGTATACACATTTATTCTTTTTCCCTTTCCCAGTTCTAAGGCTCGGGTAAGTGCCACTAGTTCTGCTAACTGGGCGCTGGTCCCTGGGAGAAGAGGCCTACTTTCAAGTATGGTTACATCACTAACTATGGCATGACCTGCCCTTCATATCCCATTCTCCAGAAATGAACTTCCATTGGTGTATAGGTTAAGGACAGGATTAGCTAAGGGGACTTCTAAGAGATCATCTCAGGTGGCATGAGTCTGGACTACAATTTGTTGGCAGTCATGCTCGATTGGTTCCCCATCCTCTGGGAGAAAAGTGGCAGGGTTGAGAGTTGTGCACATGCATATTTGAAGCATTGGTCCCTCAAGGAGTAGCACCTGGTATCTAAGCAGTCAGTTGTATGATAGCCATAAACTTCCTTTGGCACCTAGTATGCCATTTACATCATGAGTAGTCCAGACAGTGAGATCCTTTCCTTGTAGTATTTTGACAGCCTCTGACACTAAGACAGCCACCACCACAACTACCCATAAACAGTGAGACCAGCCTTTGGCTACTATATCAATTTCCTTACTTAGATATGCCACTGGTTATGGGGTTGTTCCACAAGTCTGAGTAAGGACCCCAAGAGCTATTCTTGCTCTCTCTGTGACGTATAAAGAAAAGCTTCATCCTCTGGGAAGGCTTAAGGCTGTAGCTTGAGTTTGTTCCTTCCAATGCTCAGACTTCAGGGTTGATTCCCTCCTAAAGCAGGGGACAATAAATGAGTAACTTGTTTTCCATATTCATGTAGATAATAGCTCCAGCTTTCACTAATATATCCCTCTCTAATAAGGGTATGGGACTTTCAGGCATAAAAAGAAAGGCATGTGAAAAGAGCAAAGTCTCCCAATTACAGCTGAGGAGGTGGGAGAAATACCTGGTTACAGGCTGTCCCAGGATTCCTTGGATGGTAATGGACCTTGAGGACAGTTGTCTGGGACAGGAGATTAACACTGAGAAGTCTGTGCCAGTGTCCAGGAGGAAGTCAATTTCCTGGCCCTCAATGGTTAAACGTACCCAGGGCCCAGTGAGGGTGATGACATGAGCTGGCGCTTGCCCCTTGCACCGTCAGTCCTGTTGTTGGATCATCTGGTTGGGGGCTTCTGGACCAGAAAACCTTTGTCCTCTGGGGTAGTGCACCTTCCAGTGATTGCCTTGGCATAAAGGACATGGGCGAGGGGGCAGCTTGTTTCTCATTGGACAATCATTTTTAAAGTGTCCTTGTAAACCACACTGGTAACAAGCCCACCAGGTGACTGGCCTGCTCCATTTTCTGTCCTCTTTGAACCACCAAGGTTTGTTTGTCTAAGGGCCATGACTAAGGCTGCGGCCTTTCTCTGATCCTCCTTTTCCTTTTCAGCCTGTTCCTCTTGGTCCCTATTATAGAACACCGAGGTTGCCAGGTTTAATAATGCCTCCAGATTTTGTTCAGGGCCCAGGGCTCACTTTTGGAGCTGGTGCTTTTCTCCTGATATCTGCAGCTGATTGGGTAATAAACTTATGTTTTAGGATCAATTGGCCCTCAAGTGAGTTGGGTGATGGGAGTATATTTTCGTAAGTCCTCCAGTAGCTGCTTGAGGAAGGCAAAAGGATTTTCTTCCTTTCCCTGAGTTATGGTGGACATCATTGAATAATTCATGGGCTTTTTCCTAATTCTCCTTAGTCCTTCTAGAACACAGGTCAACAGATGTTTGTGACTCCAGTCCCCCTGATCTGAGTCGAGGTCCCAGTGGGGATCCATACTGGGGTCGGCTTGCTGACCGGTAGGGAATTTGTTCCTTTCTTTTGCTGTCATTCTATCATTTACTTGACTAAGATACCAGGTATCTCCAAACTCTAGGGCTTCAGCTAAAGCTACATTCTTTTCTTTAAAGGCCAGGGTTAGATCTAACAATAGCATGACATCTGTCCAAGTGAGATAGAAGGTTTGCCCTGGACCCTGTAGGACATCTATGTACCTATCAGGACCATCTGAAAACTTCCCCAGGTCTGCCTTGATCTGCTTTAAATCAGAGAGGGAGAAGGAGACATGTACCCAGGTTGGGCCAAATTCCCCTCCCCCTACAGCTTGAAGGGGACATAACCAATAGCCCAGGGGTTTTTGTAGTCCTTTGGAGATTTCTTTGCTTGTTTCCTTCTGGGTGGGGGAGATTAGAAGAGGCCTATCGTTAATTGAAAGGAGAGTTAGGATATGGAGGTAAGCTGAGAGATCCTCCTGTGGGATGTAAATTGCAAGCTTTGCATAGTTATGTATTCTCCTTCAGTGAAAAGAAAGCTTGGACAGAAGGTATTTCACTCCATTTGCCTTCCCTCTTACAGAAAAGATCAAGCTGCAGGATAGTATTGTAATTTATACTTCCCTCAGATGGCCATTTTTCCCCATCAGAGAGAGAATATTGGGGCCAAGCTGTAGTGCAGAAAAAATTGAGCTTCTTCTTTTTCAGGATTTGCGGGTCAAATTGGTCCCAATGGCTTAGGATGCATTTCAAGGGTGAGCCTGTTGATGCCTGAGTGTTTCCCATTTGAAAGACAAAACCAACCATGGTTTTGGTTTGTTTGTTTCTCTGCCTGCCCAAGAACCCACAACGGTCCCTGGACCCTGGTGATTGGAATAGTTGTGCTCACCGACACAGCAGCAGAAACAACCCCTGCCCAAGAACCCTCAATGGTCCCTGGACCCTACTGATCAGAATAGTTGCGCTCACTGATGCAGCAGCAGAAACATTAGTTTTCCTCCTAGACCACAAGGAGGACTAAGGAAACTCAGATTTAGTGGCCCTTACCAACGCATTCTCGAAAACCTGCACCCTTGCCTGTCTTCCTAGACCACAAAGAGGACTGAGAAAAATTGGATTTCGTGGCTCTTACTGACACATTCTTGAAAACCTGTTACAGTCCTAAGCATTCTCCTGTTAGTATTGGGACCTTACCCCTGTCCTATAAAGGTGTTATGCCCCAAAAATGAAGTGGAGGGCCATACCCTGAGGGAGGGAAGGGATCTCCAGGGCTGGAAGAGTGATGCCTTTTGTCCTCACTTATATGGATAGGAAAGATACCATTTCTGAAGTTCCCCATATCCTAGCTTCAGGAATAGCTTTTGTTAGGCCTGCTAGTCTGAGGAGGGATCCTAAAATTCCAGATAGTCGCCCGCCCCGACAGGGCTTTGGGCAAAAATTACGTCTTTCTGATTGGTGAGCCCAGGTGCCTAAAGAAGGTAACAGAGTCCTGAAGTTTATACTAGAAATCATTCTTACAGTAGAAACTAGAAAAGCACCAGAGACAGGGAGTGGTTTTTAGAAGAAGGACTAGCCTCAGAGAAGAGAGGCAGGAGGAAGTTTGTCTGACAGACGTTAGGACCCAGGAGGAAAGGGTCAGGTTAGATAGGATAAATGGGCGAGTCTCGCTTGGGTGATGTGACTTTAAGAGTTCCACTCATGGCCGCAGGGTCAACCAGCTTGTTGTCGGGACCCCAGAGCTGAATGGCTTTCCTCTCTGTTGACCCTTGGCTCAGCCCAGAAGTACAGGAAAAGCAGAAGCTGGTTCCAGGCAAACCAATGCTGCCAACTCCGAAGAGTCAGGGGTTGTTAGCCCTTTCCTAGAAAGCCTGACACCCGTGTCTTTAGTCCGGTGGCCATGCTAGTCGCTTTTAACTGGCCAACAGTTACCCGGTATTTAGCCCCCGAATTCTAAGGAAAAATATGACAGAATAGCAAGTGAAAGGGGTCTGATGGTACTCACAGCTTGGTGATAGTCCCTTCGTGGTTGCCAAAATGTGTCCGGAATTTTTTCCTTCTGGTGGGTTCTTGGTCTCACTGACTTCAAGAATGAAGCCGTGGACCCTCGTGGTGAGTGTTACAGTTCTTAAAGATGGTGTGTCCAGAGTTTGTTCCTTCAGATGTTCAGATGTGTCTAGAGTTTCTTCCTTCTGGTGGGTTCATGGTCTTGCTTGACTTCAGGAGTGAAGCCACAGACCTTCACAGTGAGTGTTACAGCTCTTAAAGGTGGTGCATCTGGAGTTGGTTTGTTGCTCCTGGTGGGTTCATGGTCTCGTTGACTTCAGGAGTGAAGCCACAGACCTTCACAGTGAGTGTTAACAGCTCATAAAGGTAGTGCAGACCCAAAAAGTGAGCAGCAGCAAGATTTATTGTGAAGAGCAAAAGAACAAAGCTTCCACAGCATGGAAGGGGACCCAAGCAAGTTGCCACTGCTGGCTCAGGTGGCCAGCTTTTATTGCCTTATTTGGCCCTGCCCACACCCTGCTGATTGGTCCATTTTACAGAGTGCCGATTAGTCCGTTTTTACAGGGTGTTGATTGGTGAGTTTACAAACCTTTAGCTAAACACAGAGCACTAATTGGTGTGTTTTTACAGTGTGCTGATTGGTGCATTTATAAACCTTTAGCTAGACAGAAAAGTTCTTCAAGTCCCCACTCGACCCAACCAGGAAGTCCAGCTGGCTTCACCTCTCAATGGTACCAGCTTCTCTTTGTACCTGTGGTAGAATTCAACTGTGAATCCATCTGGTCCTGGGCTTTTTTTGGTTGGTAGGCTATTAATTACTGCCTCAATTTCAGAACTTGTTATTGGTCTATTCATGGATTCGACTTTGTCCTGGTTTAGTCTTTGAAGGGTGTATGTGTCTAGGAACTTATCCATTTCTTCTAGATTTTCTAGTTTATTTGCATAGAGGTGTTTATAGTATTCTCTGATGGTCATTTGTATTTCTGTGGGATCAGTGGTGATATCCCCTTTATCAATTTTATTGCATCTATTTGATTCTTCTCTCTTTTCTTCTTTATTAGTCTGGCTAGCAGTCTATTTATTTTGTTGATCTTTTCAAAAAACCGGCTTCTGGATTTTTTTTTTGAAGGGTTTTCTGTGTCTCTATCTCTTTCAGTTCTGCTCTGATCTTATTTCTTGTCTTTTGCTAGCTTTTGAATGTGTTTGCTCTTGCTTCTCTAGTTCTTTTAATTGTGATGTTAGGTTGTCAATTTTAGATCTTTCCTGCTTTCTCTTGTGGGCATTTAGTGCTATAAATTTCCCTCTACACACTGCTTTCAATGTGTACCAGAGATTCTGGTATGTTGGTTCCTTGTTCTCATTGTCTTTGTGTCACATCTTTATTTTTGCCTTCATTTCATTATTACCCAGTAGTCATCAGGAGCAGGTTGCTCAGTTTCCATGTAGTTATGTGGTTTTGAGTCAGTTTATTAATCCTGGGTTCTAATTTGATTGCACTGTGGTTGAGAGTCTGTCATTTTTTTAGTTCTTTTGCATTTGCTGAGGAGTGTTTTACTTCTAATTATGTGGTCAATTTTAGAATAAGTGTGATGTGGTGTTGAGAAGAATGTATATTCTGTTGATTTGGGGTGGAGAGGTGGAGAGTTTAACAGTGGGGTGTTAAAGTCTCCCACTATTATTGTGTGGGAGTCTAAGTCTCCTTGTAGCTCTCTAAGAACTTGCTTTATGAATCTGGGTGCTCCTGTATTGCGTGCATATATATTTAGGATAGTTAGCTCTTCTTGTTGCATTGATCCCTTTACCTTTATGTAATGCCCTTCTTTGTCTCTTTTGATCTTTGTTGGCTTAAAGTTGTTTTATCAGGGGCTAGGATTGCAACCCCTGCTTTTTTTTTGCTTTCCTTTTGCTTGGTAAATATTCCTCCACCCCTTTATTTTGAGCCTATGTGAGTCTTTGCACATGAAATGGGTCTCTGAATTCAGCACACTGGTAAGTCTTGACTCTTTATCCAATTTGCCAGTCTGTGTCTTTTAATTGTGGCATTTAACCTGTTTACATTTAAGGTTAATATTGTTATGTGTGAATCTGATCTTTTCATTATGAGGCTAGCTGGTTATTTTGCCCATTAGTTGATGCAGTTTCTTCATAACATCCATGGTCTTTATAATTTGGCATGTTTTTGCAGTGGCTGGTACCAGTTGTTCCTTTCCATGTTTAGTGCTTCCTTCAGGAGCTCTTGTAAGGAAAGCCTGATGGTGACAAAATCTCTCAGCATTTGCTTGTCTGTAAAGGGTTTTATTTCTCCTTCATTTATGAAGCTTAATTCGGCTGGATATGAAATTCTGGGTTGAAAATTCTTTTCTTTAAGAATGTTAAATATTGGCCCCCACTCTCTTCTGGCTTGTAGAGTTTCTGCTGAGAGTCCACTGTTAGTCTGATGGGCGTCCCTTTGTGAGTAAACTGACCTTTCTCTCTGGCTGCCCTTAATATTTTTTCCTTCATTTCAACCTTGGTGAATCTGATGATTATGTGTCTTGGGGTTGCTCTTCTCGAGGAGTATCTTCATGGTGGTTCTCTGTATTTCCTGAATTTGAATGTTGGCCTGCCTTGCTAGGTTGAGGAAGTTCTCCTCAATAATATCCTGAAGAGTGTTTTCCAACTTGGTTTCATTCTCCCTGTCACTTTCAGGTACAATAATCAAACGTATATTTGGTCTTTTCACATAGTCCCATATTTCCTGGAGTTTTTGTTCGTTTCTTTTCACTGTTTTTTCTCTAATTTTGTCTTCTCGCTTTATTTCACTAAGTTGATTTTCAATCTCTGTTACCCTTTCTTCTGCTTGACTGATTTGGCTATTGATACTTGTGTATGCTTCACGAGGTTCTCTTGCTGTGTTTTTCAGCTCCATCAGGTCATTTATGTTCTTCTCTAAACTGGTTATTCTAGTTAACAATTTGTCTAACCTTTTTTCAAGGTTCTTGACTTCCTTGCATTGGGTTAGAACATGCTCCTTTAGCTCAGAGGAGTTTGTTATTACCCACCTTCTGAAGCCTACTTCTCTCAATTCGTCAAACACACTCTCCATCCAGTTTTGTTTCCTTGCTGGGGAGGAGATGTGATCCTTTGGAGGAGAAGAGACGTTCAGGTTTTTGGAATTTTCAGCCTGTTTGTGCTGGTTTCTCCCCATCTTTGTGGATTTATCTACCTTTGGTCTCTGAAGTTGGTGACCTTTGGCTGGGGTCTCTGAGTGGACATCCTTTTTGTTGATGTTGGTACTATTCATTTATATCTGCTAGTTTTCCTTCTAACAGTCAGGCCCCTCTGCTGCAGGTCTGCTGGAGTTTGCTGGAGGTCCACTCCAGACCCTGTTTGCCTAGGTATCACTGGCAGAGCCTGCAGAACTGCAAAGATTGCTGCCTGTTCCTTCCTCTGGAAGCTTCGTCCCAGAGGGACACCTGCCAGATGCCAGCTAGAGCTCTTCTGTATGAGGCGTCTGTCAGCCCCTACTGGGAGGTGTCTCCCAGTCAGGATACATGGGGGTCAGGGACCCACTTGAGGAGGCAGTCTGTCCCTTAGAAGAGCTCGAATGCTGTGCTGTTAGATCTGCTGCTGTCTTCATAGCTGCCAGGCAGGGATGTTTAAGTCTGCTGAAACTGTACCCACAACCACCCCTTCCCCTAGGTGTTCTGTCCCAGGGAGGTGGAGATTTTATCTATAAGTCCCTGACTGGGGCTGCTGCCTTTTTTTCAGAGATGGCCCTGGGAATCTAAGAGAGGCATTCTGGCAGCAGTGGCCTTGCTAAGCTGCAGTGGGCTCCACCCAGTTCAAACTTCCAGGTGGCTTTGTTTACACTGAGAGGGTAAAACTGCCTACTCAAGCCTCAGCAATGGTGGATGCCCCTCCTCTACCAAGCTCTAGCATCCCAGGTTGAGCTCAGACTGCTGTACTAGCAGCGAGAATTTCAAACCTGTTGATCTTAGCCTGCTGGGATCCATGGGGGTGGGACCCACAGAGCCAGACCACTTGGCTCCCTGGCTTCAGCCCCCTTTCCAAGGGAGTGAATAGTTCTGTCTCTCTGGTGTTCCAGGTGCCACTGGGGTATGAAAAAAAAACTCCTGGGGCTAGCTCAGTGTCTGCGCAAATGGCCGTCCAGTTTTGTGCTGGAAACCCAGGGCGCTGGTGGTGCAGGCACCAGCGGGAATCTCCTGGTCTGCAGGTTGCGAAGACTGTGGGAAAAGCACAGTATCTGGGCTGGAGTGCACAGTACAGTCCCTAATGGCTTCCCTGGGCTGGGAGATGGAGTTCCCTGACCCCTTGCCCTTCCCAAGTGAGGCAACGCCCCACCCTGCTTCAGCTTGCCCTCCTTGGGCTGCACCCACTTTCCAACCAGTCCCAGTGAGATGAACCGGGTATCTCAGTTGAAAATGCAGAAATCACCCACCTTCTGTGTTGATCTCACTGGGAGCTGCAGACCAGAGCTGTTTCTATTCGTCCATCTTGCCAGCAATATCTAGTCTATTAGTCTTACTAGTGTAATGTATGATGTACTTTCCAGGGTTTTAAAAATCATCTTATTCATCCAGCGTTGAAGTGAGCTGTTGTAAAATGTAACTACAGTAAAGATAATTATTTTTTATCAAAAATTAAAGAACTAAATTTTCTCTTACAGGGAATTAAAGTGTTTTATATTTTTATCTTTGTACTCAGTTTTTAAATTATGGAAAATGGTGTCTAAATGCCCTGGAGCTCAGGTTGATACAATGGCATTTCCTTATAAAATGAAAAGGATTTTATAATAATAAGATCTTTAGTATTTTCCAACAAATAGACTTTTGTGAATGGGATCTGAAATAGGCTTATTATTGGCCCTCTGTAATTTTTTTTCTGCCCTGCCCAGGACTTGTACACTTAGCACTACAGATATTTCCAAAGAAACTGTCACCTCTATCCTAACATTCACTACTCAAAACGTTCACTACTCAAAAAGTGTGTAATTAGTTCAATTATTCACATCTGCTGTTAACAGTCCACAAATATTCCCCCAGGTGCTCAATTCTTGGCAAAAGGGAGAGAGGAACAGAAAACATATTGCAATATTACCACTTGTAGATGGCATAATGGGAGTTAGAAAATGCTTTGAGAACACACAAATAAGAAATTAATTTGCCCAAAATATGAAGAAAGATGGAGACAAGAAAAATTTTGGAAAGATAGAGATATGGAACTTGGAAATTGGTAGAAATGTTCTAGTCAATCATAGGAAAGATGTTAATTGAACAGGAAGTAGCAATGGTGAGGCACAGAGGTATTTAGGGAGAAAAAGCTGAAGATAGGCAGAAAGGAAGTTTACAAAAAGATTTTTGGAGATTGTGTGTCTCGCTAGAGACTTTTGGCTGTCTTTCCATGACCATGTTTCTGAACGAGGACTGACTCATCATCTCTCCCTCCCATGCCTTGCTGCAGATTCCAAGACATTTTTATACTGAATGTGTTTTGTAAATAATAATAATACAAATGTTAAGTATTAGCGCCAATGCATTCCAAGATAGATCTATAGACTTAAATATGTTACATAATTATCCTAGCTTTTCAAATTGCAATGTCCTAAAAGTGATCATTGAATAAAATGAATAGAATTCTGATGGTAGTTATTTTAAATAGATGTGATAGTAGTGAAGCATTTTTGGAAAGAAAGAAAATTGTGCAGAAAAAAAATTATTTTAATCTAATGTCACAAAAGACTTGGCAGTTTTATAAAAGAGAAGAGATTATTAATCATTTGCAGTTTTAAATTGTATATAGTCATTTTGCATTTCAAGTTTTACTAAATGGTTCATTTGACATTATCCATTAAAATCTAATGCTTTATATCCCAGCACCTTTATGCTCATTTAATCATTTCATTTTATCTTAACAGTATGTGCTTTATTTGCTTTGCAATAATGCCTAAAAAGAAAAAGTTCTTGGATTATATTTTGTCAGATAATGGGAACTACTTAGTAATAATTTATTTATAGCAGGAAAAAGATGAATACCAGCAAATTATTTTTTGCCTCCCTTTGCTTTCCTATACCCAACAGGTGGCAAACTGTTTGAAAGTAATGACTTTCTTCTCAACTTTAGATTCTTAGTGTCAAGCAGTATCTGGCAAAAATAGGAATTCAATAAGTATTGTTGAATAAATCAATACATAAAAGAAGTTATAAAAGAGAAAATATTGATGATTAATAAACAAATAGTTTAAACTCACGAATATAAAGGAAAAGCCAACTAACTCAATGAGTTAATGTATTCTTCCAGCCCATTAACATAATAAAGATGAAACCAGAGGCACAGAAAAATTGGTATATTCAAACACTGCTTATGAAAATTAAATTGAACCAGACTTTGATAAAAACTTTCATCACTAAAAACTATATCTTTCTAAACTAACTTATTCTTCTGGGAATCGATCTTAAGGAAATAATGTGATCTTTTCAAAAAACAGCGCTCTCTGTTTTTACTCTACACTTGGAAGTTGACTGTATTAGCAGCTTAGCATGATGGAAGACACTAGAGTTAGAATCAAAAGACTAGTTGATGAGTCTCTGCTCTACTGCTTCTCAAAATGAGACCCTGGATAAATCTCTTCAATTCTCTGTTTCAATTCCTTATTTGTTTCTCAATGATAATATATATATTTTAAGATATATATAGAGAGAGATAAATAAGGAATTGAAACAGAATGTAAGATTTGTCAATGATAATATATATTTTCAGAGATATATGTAGAGAGAGACAAATATCTTAAATTCTGTTTCAATTCCTTATTGATCAATGATAATAAATATACATTTTAAGATTTATATAGAAAGGGAGAGACAAATCTCTTAAACTGTTTCAATTCCTTATTAGTGATAATAAGCATATACTTTAAGATATATATATAGAGAGACAAATATCTTAAATTCTGTTTCAATTCCTTGTTTATCAATGATAATAAATATATATTTTAGGATATATATACATATATATCTATATATGTATACATCTTAAAATATATGTATATATGTATATATATCTTAAAATATATGTATATATGTATATACACACATATACGTATATATGTATGTGTGTATATACATATATACGTATATGTGTGTATATACATATATACGTATATGTGTATATACATATATGTATATACATATATACGTATATACGTATATATGATATATATGTATATATGATATATACGTATATATACGTATATACATATATGTATATACGTATATATGTATATATAAGTATATACATATATGTATATACGTATATATGTATATATAAAATATATGTACATATATGTATATATATATCGAGAGAGAGAGAGAGAGAGAGAGACAAATCAGCCTATCATCCGCAACCCTTCTAGCCTTTCCAGATTATGCGTTCTGTCATTAATCAGGCTGCAGTGAAATAATAGAGTTAGTCTTTCATCTGTGAAGGTGAAGGAAAAATTAGAAGGGGATTTCATAAACAACTTTTCCAAAAAATTAGAAAAAAGCGAGAGGAGAAATTTTTTTAAATAGAGTAATTTACATTTCCATAAAATTATGAAAATATATAAATTCCAAATACTTTAACTTTGATATGGTCTCCTGGTACATGATCCAGACTTGTAATACTACACCATCTTGGAATTTTTTCTAACCTTCACCCTTCTTTTCTCAGTCATCGCAAATGTCTTGGATTAACTCATATGCTTCTTTCGTTTAAAAGTGGTGCAATGTTATTAAAATGAAGACCATAATGAATCATCAGCAGTGCCTAAATGCCCTTTAATAAGCCATAAGACAGATACTCTACACTTGGAAATCAACTGTATTAGCAACTTAGTATGATGTAAGGCTCCAGAATGAAAATCAAAAGATTAGTTAATGAGTCAGTCTCTTCTCTACTGTTTCTCAAAATAAGATGCCGGATGAATCTCTAAAATTCTGTTTTAATTCCTTAATTGTTTATCAATGATAATAAATATTATCTTTACTTATCTACCCCTCTATGTCATTAGTTTATTGTAAAGATCAAATAAGAAATGTAAACAAAAACATTTCTACATTAAAGTGATGTAGATATATTAATCATCAGAAGTAGTACTACTGATAACATCAAGACACCATATCTCACTTATGACCAAAATGTCTTCCTCTGAAATAAAAGGCCAAAGAATATTTCAGCATTCTGTCTACTAAATTTCTTCTACCACCTCTAAAATTCTTAAACACTGTAGTTAAAGCAACTGTTGAAGAACTTCAACAGGTAAGAAGAATGACATATAAATTGGCTGTGCTGCAAACAAGTTTAACTCACATAAGGAAAAAATATTTACATGTCGTTCATTTTTACAACTGTGATCCTGATTGTATGATAAATTTTATACTTTTATGTTGGCAACTTTTATACTTTTATGTTGACAGTTTGTTATAAAAGGTGGAATAATTGAATGCTAATGGAGAAGTTGTCTAAAAATTATTCTTAATTTTCAAAAGTATTTCCAAATTTCACGAATGGTCTCTTGTGTCTTGAGAGCATCTTTACTATTTATAATTTTTTTCACTTAAAATTATTTTATTTTTTATTTAAAATAAATTAGTAATCATTGCTATTAAGTAGGGTTTCTAATTAAACAACTTTTAATTTTATTATATGAAAGAAAATTGAGCTTTCAAGAAAGACAACTTTGCTTTTTGTGATGTCTACTAAAAGAACATAGCTCCTACGTAGACTGAGAAAGCACTAAGTGGTACAGCAATAGTTAATGACATTTATCTCTGCAGAAAGTCTGCATTTAGCATGGTGAGGGATTTGGATTTATCAGTGAATCTCTATGGGTAAAAAGCAATTTCTGTATGGCACATCTAATATTTATAGCATATGAGTTGGCACAAAAGTTCTATGAAATCATCTTGAAAAATCTATTGATTGATTCATGCATCCCTGATATAAATTTTTTACTCCAGTAAACACACATCATTCTTCCCCTTTATAACTTTTAGATAGGAAGAAGACTAGAAGTCCAGTTGTGTGTTTGTGTATATGTGTGTGTGTACATAAATATATACATATTCATGTAACTAATGTCGCTTCTTACTTGATTATAGAAAGGGTATTTCAGGAGAAATGAAAATATATGGAAACAACCAGATCCCACCATTCTTCTGTCCCGCTTTCCCACTATCCTTTCCCCAAGACACACACACACACACACGCACACACACACACACATTTACCTTAATTTCATTTAATTAAAGAAGTTACTGAATGATTCCTGGCCCTTACCTAGTGATGGAGTTCAGGATATGTTACCCAAAAATGGCATTTGAGAAAACAGCAGAGGCAGGAAATTCACTCTCGCTTTCCCTTTGCCTTTCTCCCCTGAAGCATGTTATAAAACCTAAGAAGGATTTTTAAATTTTCCCCTGAAGCAAGTCAAAAGACCCTCATATGAGAGGTGCCACCCTATACCCAGAGGAAAGGGATGTCCTTGTGTCTGAAGACATAGGGATACAAAAAGAATCTGAACAAATTGACCTTGCTGTGTTTCCCTCAGTTTATTATCATTAGATCATACCCTTTGCCCTCCAATCATGTTTCTCCATGACTATTTATTCTTCATCAAACCTACTATGAAACATACACAGTTTAACTGTTTCTTCAGGTCTTCCTTTCCTTATAAAGGCTGCCATGTGAAGTACAACTTACATTAAATAAATGTGTATCCTTTTCTCTTGTTAATCTGTCTTTTGTTGTTAGGCTTTCAGCCATGAGCCTAGGAGGGGACAGGAAAATATTTTTCCTCCCTTTCACCCAGTCATATATAAGCAATTTGCATTAAATATTTGTCAGTTGCTTTAATTTTTTTAGTCCTTAGAAATGATGAAAAATAGAACTCACAGAAGGGTTTGAAAAGAGTTTAGAACTAGTAAGTTTTAAAAATTTTTCCCAGCTAATTTAAACAGGTTTTTAACTCATTCAAAACGCTCTGTTTATACCTCATTATTGTACAATGTTTATTTTTAATATACATATAATTATATATGAAAAATTAAAATTATATATAATTTATATTATAGATTTGGGGCATACAAGCCCAGTTTTGTTACGTGGAGATATATATATATATATTTTTTTTTCTTTTTTTTTTTTTTTTTTGAGACAGAGTCTCACTCTGTCAGCCAGGCTGGAGTGGAGTGGCATGATCTTGGCTAACTGCAACCTCTGCCTCCCGGGTTCAAGCGATTCTCCTGCCTCGGCTTCCTGAGTAGCTGGGATTACAAGCATGCGTCACCACGCCCGGCTAATTTTTGTATTTTTAGTAGAGATGGGGTTTCACCATGTTGGCCAGGCCGGTCTCAAACTCCTGACCTCAGGTAATCTGCTCACCTTGGCCTCCCAAAGTGCTGGGATTACAGGCTTGAGCCACCGCACCGGGCATGTGGATATATTATCAAATGGTGAAGTCTGTGTTTTAGTGTAAACATCACCCAAATGGTGATGTTTTCTGTATTAACATCACCCAAATTACCATTAGGTAATTTTTTCATCCCTCACCTCCCCCCATTCTCCCTTCATAACATTTTGCTAATGGAACCATTTTGTAAGGTGGTATTATATTAATTTTGTAAATATCAATAACCGTGAAATAACATCTGAATCAGTTGTTCAATAAGCACCCACTAACGTTCACAAATGCTTCATGTGACCTTTAGAGAAAAAAGCAGAGGCAAGCTAATTGCAAAATGATGAACACTTTCAATATTCAACACACTTCGAATGTAGACCGAGTTTGGCATATTTGATTTACAGGCTTCATACAAAACTACCCATATTAATAAAATATTGCCCACTGTGCAATGCAGACAGTCCTTTTATCTGTGTACCTACAATAAAAAGGTAGCACTGCCAGGCAGCTAGTTGTGTTGTTTCAGTTTCCAGATTAATAGCCAATCTACTTGGAAGTTAATTCTTCATTTACACTGGGGTGCATGTATTGTCTATTTCTGGTGGAATGGGTTTTGCTCTGATCAATAAGTGTATCAGCCTAGTTGTTCATCTTGTTGGAGAGGTCAAAACAATGACAGAGGTACATCTGTTTTTATGTCAAATAATGTCTGAGGTAATGAATCCTCTCCAAGGAACTAAACAATGTTCTTGCAATTGTCCTTCGGTCTCCCGCTATGGGCTTGATCATGATTAATCTGAAGCACTTGGGGAATTGAAAGTGTTGGCACTTCCTAAAACATTTTTAATCTAAAATTTATATTCATCTACGTGGTATTTTCAGCTCTTGAATAGTGACCCAATGCATAATATATATCTAAGATGAGGCTTATATAAATGCATTTGCATATGTGGGAAAATGTAGCAGAAATATTGTTCTAAAACGCAGCCAGCAAAAATTGCTTTCAGTTACCTACATAACAATAAAATGTATTTGCAAGAGTAAATGTTATACTTATTGTGCTAATAATTAATAAAAATGCATAATGAATACAAAATACATGTAAATGCATATTAACCTATATATTACATTAACACTTGGTGAATGAAATCCCAATATTTCCACTTAAGTGACAAAATGAGGGCCACTACAAGTTTATAGGAAAGTAAAACATGAAGAGATGTTTAGGCAAATACAAAAAGTTTCTACAAGAAAGTTATTTTGAAAGAAAAAATATGAAGGTGACATACTGATTGATGGATAGGGCAGGTTGTTTCTGGGTGGATTAAGTTATTGTATTTCATCAAGCCTATTTCCTATAACAGAATTGGATGTGATAGATAGATTCAGCCACTCTGATTTGTAGGCACTTGCTGAATTGCTACCATTCATGTTAGCTCCCACTTTGGCATTGATTGACCATGTAGTCCTGTCACTCGAAGCAAATCTCTTAAGTCTTGTAGTCATCAGTGTCTAGATTGGTAAAATATGGAAAATAACTCCTCACCAAACCACCATCCTTGGGGATGGTGCACTCTTCAGGCTATGGGACAAAGTGCAGTCTTGCAAATGGACTTGGGACTCAATTAGCAGAATAATTAGCAACAAGTGAAAGTGGACCGGCCATCAGTGTCTGTGAGGACTATAATGAGCTAACTGCAATAATCCAGAACTGTCCTTACCCCTTTCCATGACTTTGGGATTTTATGCTCTAGTAAAATCACAAAACTTTAGGCAAACATTATTTTCAATTTATTTTTCAACTTAAGACTTAAATATTAAACACTTAATACAAGCATTATTTCACAAAGTAAGGGGCGTTTCAACCTCAAAAATGGGAAGGACATCACAACTAATATATACATATATATTACCCTTATATATAATAATATATGCTAATATAATATATAATATGTATTATATATGCAAATATATTAAATATTAAATATATAATAAATAAATATATAAAAATAATACATACTTATATATATCATAATAATATATAGCTATATATATAGCATTGGTGTATATACATATATGTATAACAATGATTTTTCACTATAGTTTTCTGAATTGTCTTATTACAGAAAACTTGATCATTTACTGGACCCAGAGGATAGATAGGCATTTGCAGGGCATCATTTCAGAACACTAGCAAGGCGCTGCAGTAGAGATTCTGGTGTTGGCCAGACTGTGGGGGTCCAGGAAAACAGGCCAGAATGCAGTGTCCAAGGTCCAAAGTAGGCATCAGTGCCTCAGTTTCAAGCCTGGGGCTCGTAGACAGCCTCTGATCCTGAGAGAAGCACCCTGGCCTTAGAGAAAATAGGAGCTGGCCATGTTACTGAGGTCAGCCTCAGATTTGAAGGACAATATATTGAAGCCAAATCTGTAGGTCAAAGGTTAAATGTCTTAGTAATAATAATGTATCCCAGCTAATAAACTGGCATAAGAGGAGGAATAAAAGAGAAGCTTAACCCTGAGTCACCTTGGTTTCTCTTAAAGATTAGTAATACTCTTTAAATTACTGGAAATGGAAAGAGCCTTGATTTTCATCATGTGGCCAGAGCTGAAGCTTTATGTAGTAGTCATATTATTCCCAGCTAAGCAGACAGGGATTTTTGTGGTCAGGGCTCCTTGCAGCTCATTACATTGATGGGTGACGTGGGTGATCCACATCATGGGAAGTCTTTCTATATTCTTTTTCTTCGTTGTCTAGAAAAATGTGATGAAATATTTACAAATAATTTTGTGTAATGGTTTTAGAACTGTTTATGAATCATGAAAAGGAGTCAGAGAATCAGTAGCTCAGCTCTTAATCTTGAGGGAAAACTAGGTAGCATTATTATCATAATTCATCTGCAGACCAGTCCTCTTTCATTTGCCAACAATCACTTCTGACTTACTGGAGAGGTAATCAAGCATGAAGTTTATAAACAGTACAACAGATAGACCACAATTTTTCAGACATATCTATAGCTATAGTATTGGGTTTCATTAATGTTATATTTCATTAAGTCACATAACTAAAATTAAAATTTTTCAACATCCTCAACCATTTTTAAAATGTCCAAATTTTGCTGAAGCAGCCTTTAACTCAGGCAGTGACAAACTATAGCCCACAGGCCACATCTGGCTTACTGTCTCAGTTTGTATGACTCTCAAGCTAAGAATGCTTTTTATAAATGAACATTTGCAACCAGTTTAATGATAGGGAACACTAACTTTGAATATTATTTATGGAAAATATCATGCCTCCAAAAACAAATTTAAGTCTTTTCATTAGTTGACCAATATTACAAAAAATCATACTGAAATATTGTATTTTTAATTTTGTCAATAAAAATTGTGAAAATGTTTTCTTTCATCATATGAAAAACTATATAATATCCTCAAGTTTTCCTTTTGTCCACAAAGCCTGAAACCGTTGCCATCTGGATTTACAGAAAAACTTAACCCCTGTTATAAATCATCAAAGAAAGTTTATCTTCTGCTCATTATATATTTAGATACAGGATAATTTATTTTTAGTCTTTAAAATAATATTTGGTATATATGGAAAATTTGATTAATCAATATTTCTATACATAAGAACATCAATGATAAAGGCACTTGAATTTGATGGATTCTGTCCCACCTAATAAGTAGAAACACATCTACATTGATGAAAAAAATTTTATGTCAAAATCTAAAATAAATTAACATAAGAAAACTCAGCAAAATAAAGTAAATTCTGGATACTGTGCTAAATATATTTGTTGGTATTTTAAATAATATAAAATGATTAAAAATGAGATAATGCATAAGGATTATAGAGTGAGAAGATGAAATATATCACATCAAAATGAAAATATATTATATTTAAAAAGAAAAAATTTATAAATGCTCTCAAAAGAATAAAAATAAATAAAAGCAATAAGATCCATAGAAAAGAAAAGCTTTTTGTCAAAATATGATGCATAATTTTTTTAATTTATCCACTAATAGGTGCACTAATCCATTAATAGATATAAAGTGATGTAAAATGTTACAAAACAGCCAATAGATCAAAATTATTAAAGGTACCTTGCCAAGAATTAAAGATGAAAAAAATAATGCTTCTTGTCTTTTAAGTACTATGTATCTATGCTGCATATCTCATTTCTAAAAAGAATTTAGTGACATGAAGAAAAATATTGAGTGACATGAGGATAATCATATTGAGAACCCAATGACTAAAACTAACTCTAGTAATTAAAATATATATACAAACATATATATATACAAACACTCTTCCCAAAGGCAAGACCAAATCAAGACCACAAACCTATCTTTGAGCTAGAATTACAAAATTATATATCAAATAAAAGGACTGTGCCCTGTTATTTCTTTCTTTTAAATAAGTGGCTATATGCTCATTGCACATTATAAGTAAACTATTAAGATGGGAATATATAAATAAAATTTGATGTTCTTATTAATTAAAATTTTAAAGATGCCAAGATAGACAAATGTCACCTACTTTATATTATTTTGCCTAGTTATACTGATATTTCATTCCCCTTCCTGGTCTAAGAAACTGCAGGGATAAGATGGTTAAGTGCATTAAGAGGGTTAAAGCCAATGACAGGCTCACTGCCAGTAGGTGGCAAAGCCTAGATTCTAATTTAGCCTTGCTTGAAATTGTAGGGCTAGAAGGTGAACTATTCATCATCGTTCCTTGTTTTGAAGTTGAAGAACCTAATATATAAGAAGCAGTAATTTTTCCAAGATTGCCTATATTATAATTTGGTCATGCTCTGATAAATAATCCTAAAATGTAGAAATATACATATGGTATACCTAGAAATTTTCATATTAAACTTTTATTCTAATGTGTATCTTCACATAATTTTTCTATGCCAGTATGATTAATTAGTGAGTTAATAACATTAATCTCATTTCAATAGAGAATAATATTTTAATGTCATAAGAAATTTATTTCAGTATTGCTACTGGACCATTACCTGATAAGAGTTGTCCAAAACCAGACATAGAGTTCTCCTTCCTAAGCTTTTTCTTTCATATTTAACAATCCTTGTAAGCTTTTTAAACCATATCCAAAAATTCAACTATGAACTTTATAAAAGGTTGGTAACTTTAATATTTCTCCCTCACTCATTCCTGTCAATTCTCTACAGAGGTCAAACACGTATATATGCTTTTTTAATAAAAACGTCCTTTTGAATTCTTTAACAGTAAAACTCAACATATCCTAAATGAAACCCATTTTTCAACCACTAATACCTGTACCCCAAACCTGTCTATCTGCTTGTAGCTACAACCACTGATTTAGGCTGTTTTCTGCTGCTATAAAAGACTACCTGAGACTGGAGTAATTTAGAGGTTTATTTGGCACATGATTCTGGAGGCTGAGAAGTCTAAAAGCATGTTACTGACATCTGTCAATGGCCTTCGTGCTGATTTACTCCATGGCAGAAGGTCAAGAAAGCTTGTGTGAAGACAGCTTGCTTTTATAACAAACCACTCTGGCAATAGCTAACCCATTCTCACAAAAATTAATCCACTCCTGCCATAAGAGCATTAATCCATTAATGAGGGCACAGCCCTCATGATCTATCACCACTTAAAGGTCCCACTTGTTAATAGCATCACAATGGAAGTTAAAATTCAACAAGAGTTTTGGAGGGGACATGGAAACCAAAGCATTCCATCCCTGGCCCCCTAAAACTCATGTCCTTCTCACACGCAAAATACATTCATTCTATCCCAATAGCCTCCAAAGTCTTAATTTATTCCAGCATCAACTCAATAGTTCAAAGTCCAGTGTCTCATCTGAATCAGACATGGGTGAGACTCAAGGCACAATTCATCATGATGCAAACTCACTCTGACTATGAGCATATGAACTCAAAACAAGTTATCTACCTCTAGAATACAATGGTGATACAGATATAGGATAGACATTCCTATTCCAAAAGGAAAAAATGGGTAACAATAAAGGGGTTACTTTTCCCAAGTAAGTCCAAAATTCAACAGGGTAAAAACAGTAAGTCTTAAAATGCTAGAATAACCTCCTTTGACTCCATGTCTCAGATCCTGGGCACACTGGTGTGGGGGTTGGACTCCCAAGGCCTCAGGCAGCCCCATCCCTATAGCTTTGCAAGGTGCAGGTCATGTGGCTGCTCTCATGGGTGGGAGGTGGGTGCCTGAAGCTTTCCAACGCTGGTAGATCTACAGTTCTGGGGTATCGATCATGATCCCACTTCCCATGCAATATCTCAATCACAGTCCCAGTTCTCATGCACTACCCTAGTAGGGACTCACTGCAGTGCCTCCACCCCTGCAACAAGTGTCTGCCTGGGTCCCCAGGCTGTTGGATACATTCTTTGAAGTCTAGGTGGAGATCACTATGCCTCCAGAGTGCTTGCATTCTGTAAGCCTGCAGAATTAGCACCATGTGGATGCTGCCAAGCTTAAGGCTGTTCCATAGCAGTATCCCAAGCTACTCCGGGCCTGCTTGAGCCACAGTTGGGGTGGCTGAGGAGCACTGCACCAGAATGCAGGGAACAGAGTTCAGAGGCAGCTCTAGGCAGCAAGATTTTGGAAGGTGCTCCAGGTCCTTCCCCAGAAACCATTCTGCCCTCCTAGAGCTCTGGGCTTATGATGGGAGGGGCAGCCATGAAGATCTCAAATTTTAGATTTTCCCCCATTTTCCTGATAAAGAGCATCTGGTTCTCTTCTATTGGTACTAATCTCTCCTAAAGATGCCTTTTCACTCCTTACATGACCAAGATGCAATGTTTTTAAATCTTTTTCCTCTGCTTCCCTTCCAATTATAAATTTTATCTTTAAATCATTCCTTTCTCCTCTGATCTTACTGTAAGTAGCCAAAAATAGCCACATGATTCCCTCATTATTTTGTTCTGAAAATTCCTCTGCCAGATATCCTAGTTCATCATCCTTAAATTCCACCTTATATTAAGCCCCTGAGCATGGACACAATGCAACCAAGTTCTTTGCCACAATTTAGCAAGGATAATCTTTACTCCAGTTTTCAATTTCTTGTTCTTCAATTCTGTCTGAGACCTCATCAGAATAGACTTCACTGCCAGTATTTCTATCAGCATTCTGATTGCTTCCTCTTAGATAATAACTAAGAAGCTCCAGACTTTCCTTACAGCTTTTTTATGAGCTTTCACTAGAATTGCCCTTAATGCTCTGTTTATTGCAAGCTGTCCTTTCTCTAGCCTTCTCCTCAAAGTTCTTGCAGCCTGCACCCCTTATCTAGTTTTAAAGTCATTTTCATGTTTTCAGATAAAATTTTTTTTTTTTGAGAAGGAGTCTTGCTCCGTCACCAGGCTGGAGTGCAGTGGCGTAATCTTGGCTCACTGCAACCTCTGCCTCCCGGGTTCAAGTGATTCTCCTGCCTCAGCCTCCTGAGTAGCTGGGACTACAGGTACAAGCCACCACACCCAGCTAATTTTTGTATTTTTAGTAGAGACGGAGTTTCACCATGTTGGCCAGGATGGTCTCAATCTCTTGACCTCATGATCTGCCCCCCTCAGCCTCCCAAAGTTCTGGGATTACAAGTATGAGCCACCGCGCCCAGCCAGATAATTGTTATAGCCAGCACCACACTTCTTAGTATCAATTTTCTTAGTCGGTTTTCTGTTGCTGTAACAGAATACTTGAGATTAGGTATTTTAATTTTTATTTTTTAAAAGGGGTTTATTTGGTTTGTGATTCTATGGGGGTGGGAAGCCCAGGAGCATAGCACCATCATCTGGTAAGGGCCTCCTTGCTGCATCATTCCATGGCAGAAGGGCAAGAGAGCTCCTGTGAGAGAATGCTCACTTTCATAACAATCCACTCAGGCAATAACTAATCCACTCCTGAGATAACAGCACTGGCGGAGGCTTCATAATCTAATCACCTTCTCAAACTCCCATCTCTTAATATTGTCACAATGGCAATTAAATTTCAACATGAGTTTTAGAGGGGGACATTCAAGCCATAGCAACCACCATCCCATGACGTACCCAAATCTGAAGCCAGTAGTCAGTTTAGATATTGACTTCTCCATCATATTTCATCTTCATTCAATCATTGTACTTCTAAACTATTTTTCTTTATCATCCCAAATCTTTATCCTCATGAAAAGCATTTTATTTTAGAGCTTCAACATTTTAAAAAATCTGTTGCAATAGCCTCCTATCACCCTAATTTTGGACTCTTTACACTGGAATTTCTTCTCCACACCACTTTCAGAATAAACACACACACACACACACACACACACACACACACATATACACAATCTGACTTAGGACACTTGACACTTGTCTATTTAAAACTCTTTAATATAGCTCAGTATCTGCAGAATAAAGTTTAGATTTCTAAGCATGGTAACAAGCTCTCCATGATCTGCCTTCCTTCCTTCTATAATCATTACCTTTTCCTTACCACATATTCTAATCTTTAGGTACCTTGTTCTTTATACATTAATTTAGTTATGTTACCTTTTGCTACTGTCTTTTTTTAACTTAGAATTCCTTTATATCTTCTTCTCTCTTTACTTGCTCTTTACATCTAGATGTTCTCCATGAAGCATTTCTGGATCTGTCTGTCCCGTCTCCATGTAAAGTTAATTACCGCTTCTTTTACACTTTCATAACACTTGATAGAATGTGCAGAGTGTTTTATTACAAATTTTATTTTTCTGAATCCCTACTAAATTGTGCATAGCTAGATGTCAAAGGCTGAGCAATGCTCATCTTTTTATCCTCAACACCTAAGACAAAGCTTATTACTTAGTAGTGGCTCAAATATATTGCAAAACTAATACATAAGAATGAATAAGAATGGATGAAAACAATCTCACTTGTTTGCCAAAAAAAAAAATCATGTCCTAACTTCTAATCATAGCATCAAATTCTTTCACCATATAACCTAAACCTACTCTAGAGAAGAATTGTGTCTCCTTTGACAAAATGCCCTACTAAACTCATGCTATGAACAAACCATGTAAACAATATATCTATATTGAGTGCAATATATGTCTCTAATTAACTTATGTTTAGAAACTTCAACAATGAATATGATATGTGTATTATGTAAGAAAGAATATTTTGCATTTGTAAACACTTCTACTATTATAGTACTCTTCTGTATAAATTAATTTGATATGTTTTAAAAGCTTTGTATTTGGCAAAACTATATTATCTCTATCTTGTAAAAAATGAAACTGAGCTTCATTAAATTGCCAAAATAATTATTCAAGGTCACAAAGTAAGAGATGAACCGGGATGCCACATATGAATTCTGTTTCCCAATGCAATCATATGCAGAAAAACAAAAAGGGGAAAATACATAACAACGTAATCTGTATTTTGCCACCTCCTATTTATAAATGTATATGAAGAAATATGAAAATAGATTCATTTCTAGTTGTGTGTTTAGCTACTGGAAAGTTCCAGCACTGAAAAGTTGAAGGAGATGACAAAGGTAATTACATTGCTTGTATACAGTCCTTTCATTTTAAATTCTTCTTGAACTTAGCGCTACTGAAATTTTTCCATTGAGCAACCTCTTGTGACTGTTTACCCCCTTAGCTGTCAAGATTATATCCTAATATAAGGGAGAAATTTTGTATCTTAAAATAAATTTTCTCTAAGAATAAGCACAGTGAAATGCAGCCATCAAGTTCACTCTGTCCCGAGGAGTCCTCAATGAATATGTATCTCCCTGACATCCTAGCAGAGCAAGGGTTGAGGTCTTTTCTGGCAAACTGACAGTTGCTCAACTGAGGACAGGAAGGGGAAAAGGAGTAGCTGAATCTCTGATTGATATCTTTTAAGCAGACAGTGTTCTTCTACTGAGTTTAACCTCTTCAAGAGAAGATACTTCCTAAAGTATCAGGGCCTTTCTTTCACAATATCTATGTGTTAAAGAAAATACCTAAAATGACAGGCATTTTTCTATTTTATTTAAAAGCCATGGCATTTGAATTTGCAGATGATGGCTAGAACATTTGTACTTTTCAATAAAAACAGTTTTAAAATATTCTAGCCAGCATAGAGTTTAGGTAGAACAGATATACAATTTTTTACCTAAACCTCAGTAACCTAGAAATGGCTCCTACTCAATGATGGAAGAATCAAACCCATTCTCTTAGAATTTATCAATATTAATTCAATCCATTTATTCTTGAAAGAAAATTATTCATCTTCTGTGTGTCAATCATTATAATAGGCACAAATATCATATCCAGGCCAAAATGAGTAATGTGAGGGAGAACTTTCTGAAAGATCCAGTGTTTTTGCACATCTCTAAAAGAGAAGACAAAAAATTGGTTCAAGCAGAAGAACTAGTATGTGACTAAAGGCAAGAGAATAATTGGTACCTGTGTAAATAACTATAAAAAGTTTGGTAATACCAGAACTAAGTGACAATCAGCAGAGATGGAGAAAAGGAAGCTGATTGTAAAGAGGTGGAACCAATAGGATTCAGTGATTATGTGTTGGCAGTAAATCAGAGACATATGATGTTTAGCTTTCTGACTTGGGTGACTGGCTGAATAATGGTGCTATTTCGTGCATGGAAAAACACAGTGGGTGGAGGTTCAGGAGAAAGAGGAAACATGACTGGGGAATAAGGAACTAAGAACTATCTATGAAATACTGAGTGGAGATATCAAAAAAAGGCAGTAAGCATATATATTCAGAGAAATGTTGGGACACTGCCTAGTAAAGCAGTGAGAAGAGGGCCACCATCCTCCAGACCCCAGAATGGTAGATCCACTGACAGCTTGCACTGTGTGTCTGGAAAAGCCACAGGCACTCAACAACCAGCCATTGAAAACAGCTGTGGGGGCCTGACCCTGAGGAGCCACAGGGGCGGAGCTGCCCAAGGCCTTGGGAACCCACCCCTTGCATCAGTGTGGCCTGGATGTGAGACATGGAGTCAAAGGAGATTATTTAGGAGCTTTAAAATTTGACTGCCCTGCTGGATTTCAGACTTGCATAGGGCCTGAAGCCCCTTTGTTTTGGAGGATTTGTCCCTTTTGGAATGGGAGTATTTGGGCAATGCTTATACTGCCATTATATCTTGGTGTAACTAATTTGTTTTTGATTTTACAGGTTCATAGGTGGAAGGGACTTGCCTTAGCTAGTATGAGACTTTGGACTTGGAATTTTGAGTTAATGCTGCAATGAGTTAAGACTTTGGGGGACTGTTGGGAAAGCATAATTATGTTTTGAAATGCGAGGAGAACATGAGATTTGGGAGGGGCCAGGGGTGAAATGATATGGTTTGGCTGTGTGTCCCCATCCAAATCTCATCTCAAGTTGTGACCCTCAGTGTTGGAGGAGGGGCCCGGTGGGAGGTGATTAGCTCATGGGGATGGACTTCCCCCTCTCTTGATAGTGAGTGAGTTCTCATGAGATCTGGTGGTTTACAAGTGCGTGGCACTTCCCCTTTTGCTCTCTCTTCCTCCTGCTCCAGCAATGAAGGACCTGCTGGCTTCCACTTTGTCTTCTACCATGATTGCCAGTTTCCTGAGGGTCCCCCCACCAGCCATGCTTCCTGTACAGGCTGTGGAACTGTGAGCCAATTAAACCTTTTTTCTTTATGAATTACCCAGTCTCCAGTAATTTTCTTTGTAAATTTCCCAGTGTATTTATAGCAATGGAAGAACGGGCTAATACAAAATTCTGCTTTTCAATATATTTTTTAATTTGCTTTTTTTTCAAACATTTGCTATAAATATATGTTCTTAGCTTAAAAAGTCTAAATTTTTATGCCAAACAGTAGTGTCCTGTCTCACCTCTACCTGTTTTCTGGTTTCATTCTCAGAAACAAATTCCTCTAACTCTGAAGCTTCTTCTCTTAGTCATGTTCATATCCTTAAGAGCACACTATAACCATTTTTTTCTTTTTTTTTTTTTTGCTTTTTCCAGGTTTAGGTCTTATTATTTACTTCCTATTATGGAAGGTGAGATTGACCTCTTTCGCATTTTCCCAAACCCTCTTCTAAATAGAGTTACATCACAATTTTAATTGGAAAAATAACCAGGGTTTTTATTACTATAGCTATGTAAATACTATTTACAGATAAGCCATATCATAGCTATGCTTGTATTTCCTTTCTTGTACAACTCTTTGTTCTCTATGGAGTAAATTAGTGCCAAATTTTTAATTTGCTAAGTTTCCTATATATCTATCTCTAATTCCTCTTTAACTATCTGCCAGAAGAGTAAATATTTTCTCGATATTTTCACACTTCAGATAAATCTGAAAGTTTTTGTTTTTCTTGTTGCTATCACTGTGGGAATCCTCCATCTTCCTGCTTCAACTCGGACTGCTGTTCTCTGGCCTGCCTGCTGCAGCTGTCATCCTGGGAATTTCACTAAAGCTTCATTTCAGGGAATTATGCTTCTTTACTACCCCTTTTTCTTATACCCCTGTTATGGACTGAATTGTGCTCCCCCAAAATTCATATTTTGAAACCCTAATTGCCAGTACCTCAGAATGTGACCAAATTTAAAGAATGGGCCTTTAAAGAGGTAATTAAATTAAAATGAAGTCATTAATGTATGCCCAAATCCAATCTGACTAGGGTCCTTCTAAGAAGAGGAGATTAAGACACACAGAGAGAAACCAGGGGCAGTATGCAAAGAAGGACCACCTCATGAAGACATAGCAAGTGCGCAGCCATCCGTAACCCAAGGAGCAAGGCCTCAGAGGAAACCAACTCTGCCCACACCTTGACCTTGGACTTCTAGGCTCTGGCATATAAAAAATATATTCCTTACAAGTCATTCTATTATAAAGATATATGCATGCATATGTTCATTGCAGCACTATTCACAATAGCAAAGATATGGAATCAACCCAAATGCCCATCAATGTTAGACTGGATAAAGAAAATATGGTACATACACACCATGGAATACTATCCAGCCATAAAAAGGAATGAAATCATGTCCTTTGCAGGGACGTGGATGGAGCTTAAAGCCATTATCTTCAGCAAACTAACGCAGGAACAGAAAACCAAACACCGCATTATCTCACTTGTAAGTGGTAGCTGAACGATGAGAACACATGGACACAGGGAGGGGAACACAAAGACACACTGGGGCATGTAGGTGGGGAGTGGGGGGAAGGGGAGCATCAGGATACGTAGTTAATGCATCCATGACTTAATACCTAGGTGATGGGTTGATAGGTGCAGCAAACCACCATGACACACGTTTACCCATGTAACAAACCTGTATGTCCTGCACAGGTATTCCAGAACTTAGAAGTTTAAAACTTTTCTCTTAAAAAAAAAGACAAATTTTTAAAATTTAACAAAAAAGAAAAGCAAATATATTCCTGTAGTTTAAGCCACCCAATCTGTCATAGATTTTTAGGGCAGCCCCAGAAAATGAATATGACTCCGTTTATTGTTCTTGCTTCCCTGCCTCCCCACCTCACCATTTTTTTGGCAGAGCATATTCTCCAGATGTTTTCTGAAAAAGAGGAATTAAAGAATATTTGGGAGGGGTTGAATATCTGAAAATACCTTTATGGAAAATTGTCTGGATATAGAATTCTAGGGGGATATTTCCTATCATCCTGCCTATCCTCTCTCCTACTATGTTTTACACTGTATAGCCATTATTTCAGTAGTCACCCACAGACATAACTTACATTTGAGGATAATCACTACCATTTCCCTTTCCATATGGTACTTTAACCACACTCCTTTTAAACTTATGTTATTGTCATCACATAATTGTATCCTTTTAATTCATTAGGACATTATTTTATTATTGTATACTGTCTATGTGTTCAAATCACCAGCATATTTCCTGTACCTTCTTTTTCATTTCTTCTTCATGCCAAAACCTTTTATGAAACGGGGCCGTTTATCTTCTGCCTATAGACAATGCTTGAAGCTTAAGATTCATCAAGTCTGCAAATTTATATATTTTATGAAATGGGAGGAAATTTTGGTCATTATTTTTTCAATTTTTTTCCTACTTTATCTTCTTTCCCTTGTCCTCTGGGACTCCAGTCCCAGGTATTGTTCTGCAGGTCCCTGAGGTTCTGTTCTTTTAAAATATTTTTTCCTTGGCTACTCCTAATTTCTATTGATCTGTCTTCAAGTTAACTGATCCTTTACTTTGGTCATCTCCAGTCTGTCATTAACTTATCCGGTGAGTTTTAAATTTCAGATACTGTGTTTTCAATGCTGGAATTTCTTTTTGTTTGTTTTACAGAAATTATATATATGTTTTTTTTGTGTGTGTGTTTTGTATTTTTTTGGGACAGAGTCCCAAAAAAATCTGTCTGTCTGTCACCCAGGCTGTAGTGCAGTGGCATGATCTTGGCTCACTGCAACCTCCACCTCCTGGCTTCAAGTGATTCTTGTGCCTAAGCCTCTTGAGTAGCTGGGACTGCAGGTGCTCACCACCATGCCAGGCTAATTTTTTCTGTATTTTTAGTAGAGATGGGATTTCGCCATGTTGGCCAGGCTGGTCTTGAACTCCTGACCTCAGGTGATCTGCCCGCCTCGGCCTCTAAGTGTTAGGATTACAGGCATGAGCCACCTCACCCAGCCTCATTATTTATAATAGTGATATAGTAAATAAAATTTCTTTAAATCAAACAAAAAGAAATTCCAGCATATATATATATATATATATATATATATATATATATATATATATATATATAAAAAACAAAAATATAAGAGACAATTTAAATATTAGCAAATATATTAGTGCTAGAATGTTTTGGTTTAATTTGTAGTTTCTTTTTTTATTTTAATTATTATTATACTTTAAGTTTTAGGGTACATGTGCACAATGTGCAGGTTAGTTACATATGTATACATGTGCCATGCTGGTGTGCTGCACCCATTAACTCGTCATTTAGCATTAGGTATATCTCCTAATGCTATCCCTCCCCCCTCCCCCCACCCCACAACAGTCCCCAGAGTGTGATGTTCCCCTTCCTGTGTCCATGTGTTCTCATTGTTCAATTCCCACCTATGAGTGAGAATATACGGTGTTTGATTTTTTGTTCTTGCGATAGTTTACTGAGAATGATGATTTCCAATTTCATCCATGTCCCTACAAAGGACATGAACTCATTCATTTTTTATGGCTGCATAGTATTCTGTGGTGTATATGTGCCACATTTTCTTAATCCAGTCTATCATTGTTGGACATTTGGGTTGGTTCCAAGTCTTTGCTATTGTGAATAGTCCCGCAATAAACATACGTGTGCATGTGTCTTTATAGCAGCATGATTTATAGTCCTTTGGGTATATACCCAGTAATGGGATGGCTGGGTCAAATGGTATTTCTAGTTCTAGATCCCTGAGGAATCGCCACACTGACTTCCACAATGGTTGAACTAGTTTACAGTCCCACCAACAGTGTAAAAGTGTTCCTATTTCTCCACATCCTCTCCAGCACCTGTTGTTTCCTGACTTTTTAATGATTGCCATTCTAACTGGTGTGAGATGGTATCTCATTGTGGTTTTGATTTGCATTTCTCTGATGGCCAGTGATGGTGAGCATTTTTTCATGTTTTTTGGCTGCATAAATGCCTTCTTTTGAGAAGTGTCTGTTCATATCCTTCACCCACTTTTTGATGGGGTTGTTTGTTTTTTTCTTGTAAATTTGTTTGAGTTCATTGTAGATTCTGGATATTAGCCCTTTGTCAGATGACTAGGTTGCAAAAATTTTCTCCCATTTTGTAGGTTGCCTGTTCACTCTGATGGTAGTTTCTTTTGCTGTGCAGAAGCTCTTTAGTTTCATTAGATCCCATTTGTCAATTTTGGCTTTTGTTGCCATTGCTTTTGGTGTTTTAGACATGAAGTCTTTGCCCATACCTATGTCCTGAATGGTAATGCCTAGGTTTTCTTCTAGGGTTTTTATGGTTTTAGGTCTAACGTTTAAGTCTTTAGTCCATCTTGAATTAATGTTTGTATAAGGTGTAAGGAAGGGATCCAGTTTCAGCTTTCTAGATATGGCTAGCCAGTTTTCCCAGCACCATTTATTAAATAGGAAATCCTTTCCCCATTGCTTGTTTTTCTCAGGTTTGTCAAAGATCAGATAGTTGTAGATATGCGGCGTTATTTCTGAAGGCTCTGTTCTGTTCCATTGATCTATATCTCTGTTTTGGTACCAGTACCATGCTGTTTTGATTACTGTAGCCTTGCAGTATAGTTTGAAGTCAGGTAGCGTGATGCCTCCAGCTTTGTTCTTTTGGCTTAGGATTGACTTGGCAATGCGGGCTCTTTTTTGGTTCCATATGAACTTTAAAGTAGTTTTTTCCAATTCTGTGAAGAAAGTCATTGGTAGCTTGATGGGGATGGCATTGAATCTATAAATTACCTTGGGCAGTATGGCCATTTTCACGATATTGATTCTTCCTACCCATGAGCATGGAATGTTCTTCCATTTCTTTGTATCCTCTTTTATTTCATTGAGCAGTGGTTTGTAGTTCTCCTTGAAGAGGTCCTTCACGTTCCTTGTAAGTTGGATTCCTAGGTATTTTATTCCCTTTGAAGCAATTGTTAATGGGAGTTCCCTCATGATTTGGCTCTCTGTTTGTCTGTTGTTGGTGTATAAGAATGCTTGTGATTTTTGTACATTGATTTTGTATCCCAAGACTTTGCTGAAGTTGCTTATCAGCTTAAGGAGATTTTGGGCTGAGACAATGGGGTTTTCTAGGTATACAACCATGCCATTTGCAGACAGGGACAATTAGACTTCCTCTTTTCCTAATTGAATCCCCTTTATTTCCTTCTCCTGCCAAATTGCCCTGGCCAGAACTTCCAACACTATGTTGAATAGGAGTGGTGAGAGAGGGCATCCCTGTCTTGTGCCAGTTTTCAAAGGGAATGCTTCCAGTTTTTGCCCATTCAGTATGATATTGGCTGTGGGTTTGTCATAGATAGCTCTTATTATTTTGAGATATGTCCCATCAATACCTAATTTATGGAGAGTTTTTAGCATGAAGAGTTGTTGAATTTTGTCAAAGGCCTTTTCTGCATCTATTGAGATAATCATGTGGTTTTTGGCTTTGGTTCTGTTTATTACTCTGCTGAGATGTATTCATTTTTTATTAGTGTATGTCTGTTCTTGTGCATAGTTATAATAGCTACATTAAAATCCTTTTCCTAACATCTAACATCTGTGTCATATTATGGTTGGTTTCCATTGATTGCCTTTTCTCTTGCATATGGATCATATTTTCTGTTTTACCATTTCTTCATGTAGCTAGTACTTTTAAATCATATCCTCAACACTGTAAATAATGCATGATTCTGCCATGTTTCTCAATAAAATATTGATCTGTTGTTTTAGCATGTAGTCAATTTGATTGGACATAAACTCCAAACTACCTTCTATGAAGTTGGTGGCCGTTGAATTCTTATTCTAGTTCTTCTATACCTAGCTAGATTTTTATAGTTTATGCCAGACATACATTTTTCACAGGTCAGTGGAGTTTGGGTGCAGATTTTATGGACACAATTTTCTGATTTCAGAGCTATAGGAAGACTGCAGCTTTGCATTCACATTTCAGCTCAAGGATGGACTAGGCAAGAAGCCATTAATAAATGGAAACTTACCCAGTGTCATTTTCTTTTGTTAATGTATGCCTGTGTTTGGCCATTCTCTAGTTCTTTTAAGTAATTAACTTTTACATTTTGCCAGAATTCATAGGGCACTTTGGGTGCAGGTGGAGAAAGACAGACAGGAGGTTTTTTGATAAGGT
This sequence comes from Homo sapiens, assembly GCF_000001405.40. Taxonomy (NCBI): domain Eukaryota; kingdom Metazoa; phylum Chordata; class Mammalia; order Primates; family Hominidae; genus Homo; species Homo sapiens. Next base: position 82,609,367 of record NC_000007.14, on the reverse strand, counting down.
CTAATCTATCCTCATGGAAAGAGGAACCTCAAATTTTCTGTTTTCGTTAGCCTGAAAAAAAAAAGAAAAAAAAGAAAAAACTTCATTCTTGTACTCAAAAATGATTTCCAATGGATTCTAGGCCTACAGGTATTTTCTTACATCATTTTGAAGAGGTAATATAACTATCCTCTAACTTATATTTTTACAGTTAAGAAGATAGCTTTTAGTTTAGCTGCCATCAGGGAAGCTGTCTTGTATTTCCTGGACACACACAGCTCCCCAATCCCCTCCACTCAGAGCCAACCCCTCTCCTGGTTTCTATCAACTCAGCTTAGTTTTCTATCAACTCAGCTTAGTTTTGCCTATTCTAGAACTTCATATTAATGGAATCATGCACTATATGCTCTTTTTCTCTCCGGCTTCTTTGGCCTAACAGTGTGTTTGAGATTTGTTTATATGTTCCATGTGTTAGCAGAGTATACTTTTCTTTTCATTGCTAAGCAGTATTCCATTCTATGACTATACTACAAATTGTTCATTCATTTAGCTGTTGATAGACATTTTGAAAGTTGGAACAATTATAAATCAAACTGCTATGAAAATTCTTGTGTATTTTGTTTGATTTTTTTTACGTGTTGTCATTTCTGTTGGGTAAATAGCTAGAGTAGAACTGCCAACATTTAAGATCGATATATGCTGAAATTTGTAAGAAACTGCAGGCATGATGGCTCACGTTTGTAATCCCAACACTTTGGGAGGCTTGAGGCCAGGAGTTTGAGATCAGCCTAGGCAAAAGAGCCAGACCTTATCTCTAAAAGAATACAAAAATTAGCCGGGCATGGTGGCACTCTCCTGTAGTCCCAGATACTTGGGAGGCTGAGGCAGGAACATTGCTTTAGCCTAGAAGCTTGAGGCTGTAGTGAGCTATTAAAGTGCCATCCAGGAGAATGGCGTGAACCTAGGAGGCAGAGCTTGCAGTGAGCCGAGATCGCACTGCTGCACTCCAGCCTGTGCAACAGAGCGAGACTCTGTCTCAAAAAAAAAAAAAAAAAAAAAAAAAAAAAAAAAAAAAAAGCCATCATACTTCAGCCTGCACGACAGAGTGAGATCCTATCTGTAAAAGAAAAAGAAAAAAAGAAAGTGACAATTTTCCAAAGTGATTGTGCTATTTGACACTTCTACCAGCAATGTATGAGAGTTTCAATTATTATACTTTCTTATCAAATCTTGGTCGTACCAATTTTTGTGATTTTAGCAATTCTCATGAAGTTTATTCCATTATTACTTCACTGGAGTGGTAGTTTTATAGGTGTACACATTCCTCAAAACATATTAAACAGTATGCTCGAAATCTGTTTTATTGCATGTAAATTATATGTCAGTAAAAATAAATCTATAATATTAAAATTATTAGAAAATTTTACCTCTTACAGAAACAGCCATATCTAGATTTCAGAGCTATAGAATGCCATTTTTATCTTGCACCGGTTTCAAAGAAAGCTGAGGTAATAATTAAATAATCATAATACTGAACAGTATGTGGTATATGGCAAGCTTTTAGTGATTATTTGTGGAATGAATGAATTAAGTTAGTGTTTCGTTGTTGTTGTTTTTGTTTTTTGAGACAGAGTCTCGCTCTTGTTGGCCAGGCTGGAGTGCAATGGTGTGATCTTGGCTCACTGCAACCTCCGCCTCCTGAATTCAAGCAACTCTCCTGCCTCAGTCTCTTGAGTAGCTGGGACTAGAGGCATATGCACCACGCCTGGCTAATTTTTGTATTTTTAGTAGAGACAGGGTTTCGCCATATTGGCCAGGCTGGTCTTGAACTCCTGACCTTAAGTGATCCACTCACCTGGGCCTCCCAAAGTGATGGGATTACAGGCATGAGCCACCGCGCCTAGCTGAATGAATTATTGTTGAAAAGTAATAAAAAAGAATAAAATACAAAAGGAAAATAAGATAATTATGTATCTGCAAGTGCCGAAGCCAAAAGCAACTAAATATAAACGTCCTCCAGTTACATATTTGTCCACAAGGAAAAAAAAAAAACGTTGGTTATACAATTGTATGACGTGGTAATATTTCTGAATATTTATGCTGTTACTTTTAACATTGCAGATTCTCTTGATTCTAGATATATCAGATTTAATCCAGGGCAGTTCAAAGTTAAGACAGATTTCTTAAAAGTTAATGGTATAATGGTTGATCATATTCATATTTGTTTAGCAAGGATTATTAGAATTTTATATTTCATAAACTTTTTATGGACATAAAATGTATACTTCTGTTTAAATGAATACTAGGGAAATAAAAAAGAAATTCATTCTTCAGGACATTCTGGGCAAAGTCAAACTGACATTTGTCATCTTTACCTTTTAGGCCATCTCAAAATTTAGTTCATCACATTCAAGAAAATATTTTAACAACCAGCTACAACCTATTGCTACTAATAGAAAAAACAACTCAGTTTGTAATACTGGTGGTGAATTATTAATCGTCATGATTATGAATATACGGATTATCTTTTTTAAAAAAAACTTTACAAAAACAATAATTCATATTAATGGAATTTTTTAAAAATAGGTACATCTAAGAAGAGGAATGTATCTGTTATGATAGGCTATGTTATGCTACAGTAAAGAACCATGTCAAATCTCTATGGCTTAAAATTGCAAAGGTAGCCAGGCACGGTGGCTCACACCTGTAATCCCAGCACTTCGGGAGGCAGAGGCAGGCAGATCACAAGGTCGAGATCAAGACCAACCTGGCCAACATGGTGAAACCTCGTCTACTAATAAATACAGACAAAAAAAAAAAATAGCTGGTCATGGTGGCGCATGCCTGTCGTCCCAGCGACTTGGGAGGCTGAGGCAGGAGAATCGCTTGAACCCAGGACGCGGAGGTTGCAGTGAGCCGAGATCACGGCACTGCACTCCAGCCTGGCAATACAGCGAGACTCTGTCTCAAAAACCTGCAAAGGTTTAAGTTCTCATTCATGCTCTATTTCAGCTACGGGTCATTTGGGGTCTCTACACTGCATTATTTTCCTCCTGGGACACAAAGTAGCCTCCATCTGGAATACTCTTGTCATCATGAAAGAGGGAGAGAAAGGCAAATAATTGGCTTCAAAATTTTACCCCCCCATGTAAAATGTATAGTTTCACTAGCATTTCATTGGCTAAAACAAGCTGCATAGCTAACGTGTAATTCACAGGAGGACAGTATAATTCTACCATGTGCTCAGGAAGAGAACTGGAAATACTTGGTGAACAGCATTAATAAAAACTATAAGGAACAATATGAAGAATGCAAGAAAAATCAGAATAACAAGAACTTAGCATTGAATTTGAGATAACTGATGAAAACATTTCCTTAGCTAAATAAGTTTCTAATAAACTGTTAACTGCAAAATATAGGAGCAATGACAAATTTCTACATTTTCTCCTTAATCTAGTTTTTTCATTACCATTCACAGTGAATCAAACTTTGATTTTTTTTTTAAATAAGAAATGCACAATAGAATATTCTCAACCTACAGCAGGACAGTGCCTATTTTGAATAAGAAACCAATTTAAAATGATGATGGCCTTACCTAGGGCAATCTAGGAATCTAGGCCAGATTTGGACACCAAGGACAACCTATTTTATCATAGTTTACCCACATTGCACAACAGTAACCGGAAAATATGGCATCAAGACCTAAATTGAATCTATTGTGCTCTCTGAATAGGAGATATCTAACAATATGGAAACAGCATAAGGATTATTAAAACGATCACAAAGGAGGCAGTGGTGTAGAGGTTATTCTTAACACATATATTTTGGGGATTTCTATATTAGCATATTTTCTCACAGATCTTTGGAGGTTTATTCACATTCAAAGTACCAAAGACAAAGGTGAATATCAATGTAGCTGTAATAATCCATGTGTACGCTAAGGGGCGCCAGCACCTAATGTTTAACACCACATTTTTAGGAAGAAATTCTCAAACCTCAAGTACCCTTTATTGTGACACTAAATGGGAGCCATTATTGTTTAGTAAATATTTCCCCCAAACCAAGATTCATAGCAGTTCTTGAGGGCCCAGCTGAACCATACAAAAAAATTAATGTCTTTTATTAATATCATTAAAGTGCTTTACGTAAATTAACTCACATAGCAACATCTTATTAAAAGTCAATAAATTTAGACAACTAGCATCTTATTAAACGTCAATAAATTTATTTTATTTTATTTTATTTTGAGACGGAGTCTCGCTCTGTCGCCCAGGCTGGAGTGCAGTGGCGGGATCTCGGCTCACTGCAAGCTCCGACTCCCGGGTTCAAGCCATTCTCCTGCTTCAGCCTCCCGAGTAGCTGGGACTACAGGCGCCCGCCACTACGCCCGGCTAATTTTTGTATTTTTAGTACAGACGGGGTTTCACCGTGTTAGCCAGGATGGTCTCGATCTCCTGACCTCATGATCCGCCCGCCTCGGCCTCCCAAAGTGCTGGGATTACAGGTATGAGCCACCGTGCCCGGCCAAACGTCAATAAATTTAGACAAGAAATTATTAACCTAAATTTTGAAAAGATTAAATGAGATAATGAAAATATTTTATTATTCTTATATGTTCAAGGCTTTATCTTGAACATATAAGCCATATATATTAGCCCAAATAATCCCATGTGTCTTTTCCACTCTGTTTAATATTTCCATAAATTAAAAGTCTGTTTCAAAGTCACATGAAGAGGCCCAGCGTGGTGGCTCATGCATGAAATCCCAGCACTTTGGGAGGCCGCGGAGGGCGGATCACCCAAGGTCAGGAGTTCGAGACCAGCCTGGCCAACATGGCGAAACCCCGTCTCTACTAAAAATACAAAAATTAGCCAGGCATGGTGACGTATGCCTGTAATCCCAACTCCTCGGGAGGCTGAGGCAGGAGAATCGCTTGAACCCTGAAAGGCATAGTTTGCAGTGAGCCGAGATTGCGCCATTGTACTCCAGTCCAGGCAACAAAAGAATGAAACTCTGTCTCAAAAAAACAAAACAAAACAAAATTCACATCAAGAGATTTTTCTGTAAGAGAGAGTAGCTATCACCTGAGATCTGTCTGGAGCTCTCTTAACTCTCTTCCACTACTACCACTTGTAGTCCCCGTAATAAGCTTCCAAAAATGCCAGATCTTGGGGACTATCACAGTTCACTACACTCGAGGGAAAGAATTTTACCTATAATGATACTGTTACTCTAAGCAGGGAAGAAGGACTTTATAGAATCATATAATACATTCATAAATAAAAAGTATTTAATAACGTCCATAGATGGCAAGTGCTAGCCTTGTTCACTGTCATTTTAAATGTTATTTCATGTAATCCTCACAATAAGTCTAAGAGGCAGATGTTGTTGTTTCTGTTTTGAAAGTAAAGTTTACAAAGATTAGGTAAACTTGCCCTGAGTCATAGAGCCAGTAGGTGCTGAGCCAGAATTTTAATTAAAATCTGTTTGATCCCAGTTTTCTACTTCTGATATGTAATTCCCACATTATTTGTTGCCAAACTGGTATACTAAGAAAGATTTTTCTACATTTATGTCTATATTTATAGTGGTAATAATCTTACCAAATCAGTTTTTCTTTAGAAATGGTACAAAAGCACATTGCTGCAGAGGAAACCTTTTAAAAGTTAGATTTGCTCTGAATTTATGTGAGATTTCTTTAAACTGATAACGATTAGATGCTATCGTATAACGACATCGTCTCTTTAAAAAGAGCCTGTTGCCCAGGCTTAAATTCAGTGGGGTTATCATAGGTTACAGTAGCCTCGAACTCCTGGGCTCAAGAAATCCTTCTGCCTGAGCTTCCCAAGTAGCTGGGACTATAGGCACATGCCACCATGCCCAGCTAATTTATTTTACTTTATTTTATTTTATTTTATTTTATTTTATTTTATTTTATTATTTGTAGAGACAGGGTCTCGCCACATTGCCCCAACCAGTTTCAAATTTGATCATTAGAGCAATAAAATTATACTAATGATAATGTTGATCATAATGAAGATGACAACTGGTACACATTGAGTCTACAAAAGGTATGGGCATATAATATTCAAAAGAGAAGTTATAAAGTTTGTGGAAACAGAATGGTCAAACAAAACTAAGGTAAATAAGACATGACTAGCTTTTACATTCATTATAATATGTAGTTTAGTGGACCATTCATTTTTATGTGTATAGTGCTTTTATATATCGGTTTTAGAAATACACATATAAATATGTTTCAATCTGTTTAATGCAAGCCTAAATCTAAAGAACAATGAGTAAATCAAATAGTGCATGGGAAATAGTCACTACACCAAGAACAGGAAGAACTAATACTGGTGGTCACAAAAAGTAACCAACTATAAGGAGAGTCAAGAAAGTGATGATGGGTAGAAAGGTATTGTGTATTAATAAATAATGATCATTAGTAGTATAAAGTTCTTACTAATACCATAATAGTGGCAAATTACTATGTTCTCATGCTTTATGCATGCTAATGCATTCAATCCTTCTAATAACTGTGTGAGTTAGATTTTGTTATTATTCTCATTTCACAAATGAAAACTGAGACACAGAGGTTGTATAATGTGCTCATGATCACACAATTAACAGGATGCACAGCTGGGATTTAACTCTAGGTAGTTTGGCTCTAGGGACAGTGCACCTGACCACTATACTACCAAACATTCTACAGCAACAGTCCCCAACATTTTTGGCACCAGGGACTGGTTTCTGAGAAGATAATTTTTTCATGGAGCAGGGTTGGGATGGGGGATATTTTCAGGATGATTCAAGTGCATTACACTTATTGTGCACTTTATTTGTATTATTATTACATTATAATATACAATGAAATAATTATACAACTCACCATAATGTAGAATCAGTGGAAGCCCTGAGCTTGTTTTCCTGCAACTTGACAGTTCCATCTGGGGTTGACGGGAGACAATGACAGATCATCAGGCATTAGATTCTCATAAGGAGTGCACAACCTGGATCCCTTGCGTGCACAATTCACAATAGGGTTTGTGCTGCTCTAGGAATCTAATGCTGCTGCTGATCTGGTGGGAGGTGGAGCTCAGGCGGTAATGCCAGTGATGAGGAGCGGCTGTAAATACTGATGAAGCTTCACTCGCTTGCCCCCTGCTCACCTTCTACTGTGTACCCCGATTCCTAACAGGCCACATACCGGTATGAGTTCATGGCCTGGAGGTTGGGGACCCCTGTTCTACAGGTATCTTCCTTTGAGCCTCTCTACTCAGATTCCTTCCTGATTTCCCAGAAGGTCAAACCTTTGATGATCCTATGAATTGAAATCCTCTAAGGAATTATAACTACATGCCATACACTGGCCAAATAAGACTTTCAAAAAATCATTTTGGGGGGAAAGATACCAGGCTCAAAATTATAAAACATATGAAAGGTGTGGACTTAAAAATCCATATTGACAGAACTAGCCAAAATTTGGCTAGTAAAAGGAAGTTACATGATGATTAGTGCCTAGATTTTGAATACCCTTGGGAGACGCAACCAAGAATTGATTGGCTATTTTTTTCATAATTCTATTGAGATATAATTCACCAATTTAAAGTATACATTTCAATGGTTTTCCATATGTTCACAAAATTGTGCAATCATCACCACAAACTCATTCTTGTCACTCCAAAATAATCTACTGATCTTATGCTAAGTCTCTACAACCTCAGAGAGTCTGAGAAAGTATTATTTGTGTGATGCGGCTCTGCATGCATCACTGAAATCATCAGAAGAAATCAAGATGATATCACTGAATCCCTAAGAGGTTTTCAAAATAAGAGTGGCAATGATACCAGAAAAATACAAAAACAGTACTGGAAAAAGTAAGAAATGTAATAAGCCCATTGTGCTGATTTTTAAAGAAGAGGCATATACATATACTTAATAAGTTTTACAAATCATTTTTGTTTATCTACTGTCTAAGGGGTTTGAAGACTTAATCATAGCAACTTATAATTGTTTAATGAATACAATCAAATTTAAAATAAATGTTTAGATGCTCAAGAAAAAAATATTTTTTATAATTTTATTTCAGAGCAATAAATGTAGTATTAAAACTGTACAAATAACACTGTATACTCCTTTTTACAAACTCCCCCCAATACCTTAAAATTTCTATGAACATTTGCAATCTCATGAGGAACATTGTCATGAAGGCATCATTTTATAAAGTGTATGTGGAGTGCCTATTTTCGGGTTCTCCTAATTCAGGCACCTGTCTATAACATTACGTAAAAGAAGTTGCTCTTGAATGTTTAGTTATCCAAAAGGAATTTACTAAAAGTGACTGAAGGACTCTATAAGATGAAAAACACTTAATCATTTAAGCAGTTAACATAAGCAGTGTGTGTGTGTGTTTATGTGTGTAAATACAGATGAAGCAAACCAGAAATATATCATAGTATGGTTACAGTATTAATTTATGAAAGGTTTGTACTGAGGGTTCAGTGAAAACACATAGCCCTTCGTGATATTCCTACTCAGATTTCAACCTTCTTTCATCTTTTAGCTCTGCACCACCTACTGGCCTCTTCTAAGTCCCAGGAGGATCATCTGCTCTGTCTGCATAAGAATACTTGCTTTTTATGCCATGGCATTTACTGTCAGTTGGAGAGACAATTGCTTGCAGTCTGGACGGTGTATTCAGAATTTTTGTCTGTTTTATCTCTAGCTATGCATAGGTCTCAGCGCTGCCAGAATTTAAGTAAGCTTGCATTCCTTCAATAAGGACCATAAGCTTTCTATAGCTGTTTATTGTCAAGGAAACTGTATATATTCTGTACATAGTTTTTTTTAGCCCTGCAAACACTTACTTCTGCTTTGTCCTCTATGGAATTAAAGAGTGTTTCATACAATACCGGGGTTTTAGTAGAAAAATGGCAGCTCCTGGGAATACATAGATTTGTATTTATATAGTATGTAATGTGTTTCAGGCACTGTTCTAAATGCATTGCAAACAATGATTCATTTTATCTTTCTGATAGCCCAAAAAGGAAAGCATTATCATTATCTCCATTTTATAACTTAGAGAGCTGGGGGATGTAGAGAAATTAAAGAAATAAAAGTCTGCACTGGAGCTAGATTTTCACAGAAGTTATTAAGATTTAATTGGTGAGAAAAATCTCCTGAGTGGAGATGCATAATCAGATCAATCCTAAGGAGTCACATTTACAAGGACATTATCCACTATGACAGCATCTCTAGTGTAACAATGGATCTTTTGTGACTTGCCCAAAGTCACATAGCCAGTAAATGACAGAGATGGCATTTGATCCCAGCAGTCTCTCTCCAAAGCCCATGCACTTAATATAACATGGAGAGAGTGCCTCTTTTCCTAGGAATCATTGAACTTTATGATCCTTATTACCTAGAACAATTAGCCCCCTAGTCTCACTGCCCAGGTTCCCAAATGCCCATTATACTTGTAGTCTATTCCATGCCCGTGTCTATGTATGCTTTATTATCCCACTCATTTGCAGTTACATGAGTTTAAACTCAATAAATACTTGATGATGGAGATAGGGATTAATATTGCACTAGAGGGGATAAACGTTGTTGTAATTAAAATCTGCAGAAAATATGTGGTGAGTCTACTTTCTACATCAATACTCTGCCGAGTTACATAGTACTAGGGTTTGTGCAAATCTAGGAAACAAAACCAGTCAGTAAAAGACACCTGTTCCGGGCCGGGTGCAGTGGCTCATGCCTGTAATCCCAGCACTTTGGGAGGCCGAGGTGGGCAGATCATGATGTTAGGAGATCGAGACCATCCTGGCTAACATGGTGAAACCCCATCTCTACTAAAAATACCAAAAAAAATTAGCCGGGCGTGGTGGCAGGTGCCTGTAGTCCCAGCCACTCGGGAGGCTGAGGTAGGAGAATGGTGTGAACCTGGGAGACGGAGCTTGCAGTGAGCCGAGATCGCGCCATTGCACTCCAGTCTGGGCGACAGAGCCAGAGTCTGTCTCAAAAAATAAATAAATAAATAAATAAAGACACCTGTTCCCTTTGTAGCAAGTTATACTTGCTGGGGTTTGACAAAATCTTTTGGATCAAAGTTTTTTAAAAAGTAAATGTTGTAATAAGCATTTCTCTCTAGAATACTTAATAGATGATGACTCATTTTAAACTATTGCATTCTGACTGACCTTTGGTGGTGCTGAAACAACATTCTCACATAGGTTATTGGGATTTAAGTGGTGAAACAATTTCCTGAGTAGAAACGTCACAATCAGATCAACCTAAGAAGTCACATTTAAGAGGACATTATTCAGCAGGAACATTTCTCTAGTTTGTCAGGATTAATATTATGTAAAGAATAAATTGATGTATTTTTACTTCCTTCATTAAAAAAAGGTTCTATCTGTGGTCTCCCATCTCTAAAGCCAGGCTGAAGGACTGTCACTCAAGAGCAATGGGGCTGGAGAAATGGGTAAAAATGTATCTTCTGGCCAGGCATGGTAGCTCACACCTGTAATCCTAGCACTTTGGGAGGCTGAGGCGGGTGGATCGCTTGAGGTCAGGAGTTCAAGACCAGCCTGGCCAACATGACGAAACCTCGTCTGTACAAAATATACAAAAATTAGCAGGCGAGGTGGCGGGCGCCTGTAATCCCAGCTACTCGAGCGACTGAGGCAGGAGAATCCCTTGAACCCGGGAAGCGGAGGTTGCAGTGAGCTGACATCGCGCCTCTGCATTCCAGCCTGGGTGACAGAGCGAGACTCTGTCTCCAAAAAAAAAAAAAAAAAATCTTCTTTTCCAAGATAGTAGTCTGCCTGGTTTTTTAATAAGGTGGTTTACTAAATAAGTCAGAAGATCCAGCACCAAGGATTCCTCCACAGTCCTCTCCCAATACCTCAGGCACACAGCCGACTGCTCTGTGTTATAGGAGATTCTTTCAGGGAAGAGTAATAATGTCTGTCTCTTCTGCTTCTGGGCTTCTGGGGAATCGTGGGAGGAGGAAGGAAACAGCAGGCTAAAGGAGGAAGTTCAGGTATGTTTTCACCTCCCCTTACATAGATTCCAACTGCGAACAGGTGCACCAGATAAAGTGAGGGAAACCCAAAGTGCAATGGGTGTTACTGCGTATAACCTCTGTCCAAAAAGCCTGAACAGACCGCAAAGAGTCCATGCTGCAGAGGTGAGAAATGACCATCCTCTCAAAGATCAAGACTTTGCTGAAGAAGCCGCAGCTCCCCATCAGGATCCCACGGATCACTGCAATTGCTTAAAAACTAACAAGTTGCATTAGTATAGCACGTACAGGTCAGAGGGCTTTTCTGACCTCCCTATTTAAAAGCTCCCCTCATCCACTGCTCATTCCACTTCCAACAATGGTGGGCATCACATGGCAACTAACTCCACGAGAGGTAGCTGGGATGCTGTGCCACTGTGCAGAACTCTTGGCTGCCCCACAGGGCTGGGGAGGAAAAATTGGAGTTCAAAACTTGAGACTTTTTTCCCAGAACCTGAAAGCGCTCCTAGTCTTTCAGTAGTAGTGGAATGAAAACAGACTAGCCGTCACTGGATTATAATCAGAGCCTCAAATTATTTAAACCACTCCTCATATGTAATCTGGCATTCAATCCAAAATAATCCTGCATTTAGGAAGGTAGAACTTGACAGAAAACATGAGGAAAAAAATGGACACTAGAAGCAACTCTCCCCACCACGTATAAAAGCTCACTTTCTATCACCTTTATCTACTTTATTTCTATTATCACCTTTCAATTACATATTTATGTATTTGCTTTATGATCTGTCTCACTCATTACAATGAAAGTTTCATTAAGAAATAAGAAATAGGTTTTCTTTTTCTTTTTCTTTCTTCTTCTTCTTTCTTTTTTTTTTCTTGAGACAGAGTCTGATTCTGTCACCCAAGCTGGAGTGCAGTGGTGCGATCTCAGTTCGCTGCAACCTCCACCTCCTGGATTCGACAAATTCTCCTCCCTCAGCCTCCCAAGCAGCTGGGACAGCAGATGTGCGCCACCATGCCTGGCTAATTTTTGCATTTTTAGTAGAGATAGAGTTTCACCATGTTTACCAGGCTGGTCTTGAACTCCTGACCTCAAATGATACACCTGCCTCGGCCTCCCAAAGTGCTGGGATTACAGGGCGTGAGCCATGCACCTGGCTCAAGACATGGATATGTCTTTTTATTTATTCACTGTTATATTTGCAGTATTTAGAAAAGTGTCTGACACATAGGTGCTCAAGAAACCTTGTTTAATCAAAGAATGATCAAATTAACTTACCAAATAGTTGCTATGACAGTTTAGATATGGAGATATTTCTTCAGGTTGATGATGTAAAAACTTCACAGATGATATTGAGGAAAGGAAAGGCTATCTTAGATGAAAACATGAGAAGAAAAAGAGCAGAAAGCCGTGGAGAAGAAGGAGCACATATATATAGAATTTAGGACACAAGCACAGTAAATCCATTTGTCTTCAATGTTTATTAGTGTTGGAAAATGAAAAATACATGTTACAGACTAGGAAAAATGGAAAAGAGAATAGGGAGTAGAGGGTTGTGAATTCCAAGTAAATATTACAACATTTTATCTAGTCACATGACTGTCATCTATATTAGTACATTTGAGAAATAAACAGAACAATATAAGAAAAACCAAACAATATAATAAATAACACATAAGAATTTTTACATATTTTGATGAGCTAACTGAATCTAAGTCAGTAATATTATACATACAGTTTGTCAATGACATGAAAGTGGAAAAGTTTGTGAGATAAGAATGAAATGAATTATAGAACATTTCATATTCAAACTGATTGAACCCTTAATGAAATTGATTTCAGTTTCTTACCTAAGAAAGAATTTAAAACTTTAAATGTGTTGCAAAAGTCAAAATAAAAGATAATTTGAAAAATGAGACTCAACAAAAAGACTTTTTAAAAACGATTTTTTGGGGAAGTAAACTTTTTAAAAATATATAGAATATGTTAGCTGCAACTACAATTATTCTTAATGTACAAATGATAAAAATTTATTAAGATTACTGAGGAAAGTTGTAGAAACATCCTTTGTATTTTAGAACAAGAATCATAAGTGGGTTTTGTATCTCCATTTTCTAATTATTTGATTTCACTATTTATACAATCATTTATTTATATGCTGTTTGTATTAGTCTGTTCTCACACTGCTATAAAGAAATACCCAAGACTGGGTAATTTATAAAGGAAATAGGTTTAATTGACTCACAGCTCTGCATGGCTGGGGAGGCCTCAGGAAACTCACAATCATGCTGAAGGGGAAGCAGACAACTTCTTCACAAGGCGGCAGGAAAGACAGAAGAGTGAAGGAGGAACTTGCCAAACACTTATAAAACCATCAGATCTTGTGAGAACTCACTATCGCAAGAATAGCATGGGGGAAACCGTCCCCATAATCCAATCACCTCCCATCAGGTTCCTCCCTCAACTCCTGGGGATTACAATTCAAGATAAGATTTGGGTGGAGACACAAAGCCAAACTATGTCACTGTTTCCTAGTTAAAAAAAAAAAAAAAATTCCTAGAATGTATCCATCAAATAAAAATTTTAAATTTTATAAAAGCAGACAATAACTACATTTTTACAATCTAATGTATCATGGGTGCTAAGTGGTTACTGAGTCATAGTAAAATAATAAAATCCAAACTGTTTAAGCTACAATACAAGTTTCCTGAGGTACTGAAGTGATAAAAAAGAGATTTGAACATGGAAAGTGTATTAGGGGTTATACTTAGACAACTAACTGAGTTTTTAATGACAAATCTCACATGAATATAGACAACCTTAAAATTGCAAGGAGAATAGAATATGTAACAATTCACATTTTACAAATCACAAGTTGTATTCTAGGAAGATTTTGACAGTACTCAATGACCATAGAAAATTGACATGGACTCTAATTAATTATTCATCTGGAAAAAACCCCTGGGATAAATCAACAAGAATCAAATTGCAGACACATAGAAGAATTTGGTCTAAGGCCAAAGATAATCTAGGCTTAGGCTGTCAGAACTGACTTCCTCTTAGGAGAAAAAATTAAATCTGATAGATATGAGGCTTACAACCCACTATAATATCTTGGCTTTTTTTTTTTTTTTTTTTTTTTTTTGGTGGGGTCAGGGGTCATTGTTTTCTAAATTTGTCCTCTTTCTTTTTCTGCATACAAAACTACTCCAGAAGATTTATTCTATTTTAAAGTAAAATGCATAAAACTATATTTAAAGTAAATTAAATGTAGGAGGGGTTATACATAATTGCCTCTATTTACTGGGCGTTCAGTGGCTGAATCTGAAATCTTCCCACAGTCCTACCCTTCAGTCTGTTTTGTTCCTCACCTGGAACCCTTGCTCTTAAGACCTAAAAATAACCTGACTGGTTTAGCAAGAAGAGTGATCCTGAAGGAATTGTTATAAGTGAAGTCCCCCAAGGCTGTCCTGATATTGAAAGCTTTGTGCGAGAGGGATCCAGTGGAGTTGATGAAACAAAAACCAGGCGGCTTTCTATACGTTCCGTTTCACAGAGAACAGAAAAGCACGGCAGGGATCTTCACACACTGTTGGTTCTCCTCTCTTGCTTCTGAGCAGGGATTTTTTTTTCCTTTCACTTTGGTTTGAGCCCTGTTGTTTCAGGTAGTCAATATATACCCTATAGCTAACTTCCTGAAGGGAAAAATACTCCATCAGCTTTTAAATGTGGGCTCTCTCTGCTAGCCATGTAAGAGCACTACAGAGATGGAAGGATTTAAATTAGTTCTGTTCCTCAAAATTCATTAGCAGCACCTCTATATTAGGCCTCACCTTCTATGTTTAATATCTAAAATAACTCAGCCATCCAGCTCAAATCTGGAGATATTGTGTCAGATTACATCTTCCTGTGTACTTTTCTCTATTTACCCAGCTAGCTTCATTTTGTTAAGCATTCCTTAAAAAACCCCTCTGTGTGTTAAAAATAAACTACCACAAAGAAACTGGTTCAAATGTCCACAATGGCACGAGAGACTACTAGGGTTATTGTCTGTACATTTAAATACACACAAATGTGTGCAGACACACATACACACACGCAGAGGCATATACACACAGGCTTGTAATTTGGAACATGGCCATTCTATGTTTTGGAAAACATATCTTTTAAATAAAGGGATCACTTGATATCTGATTTATTCAGCACTAGTTTTCTCTCTTCTGGAGCTTACAAATTAGTGAAAAACAAAAACAAAGTAAACCAAAAAGCTCTAATGATATAGTTTTCATCGTGTACACACATACGTGAACCTAGACATTAAGCTGGGATTTCACTCTGGTCTATGAGTAGTCATTAGTCACTGCAACACCTGCAGGTTCCATATGCTCGTGACAATCTCTCAAGATAAATGTGCTCTATTATTTAAGATTTATGGTTCTGCCCATGAATCATCACTATATATAATTCAAAAACTGGCATTTGCCCTTGTGCTATTACATTTTATTTTCCCATTCTATCAATGTCTACATCTTATTTTTAGAAGCTAAAATTAGTTTGTCTTAATAAAATAATGATATATGTTAATGGGCCTAATGTTTTTGAATTACTTAGAATTTTAATTTGTTAATTAGGAGAAATATTGATTATCTCACAGAAATAAGTTATTTTATAAATATTAAATATGTACTATTACAATATAATTAAATAATTTATTTTTAAAAATTATTTGAGTAGATGTTTGGATAAATAGAAAAGATTTGGTTTCTAGAGGCTAAAAAATTTTGAACTTGGAAGTTAAACTGGAGAAGAAAGTTTATTGGTTTGAATGACTGAATGGCCTTTAGATTAAGGAAAGTTCTGTTCCACATGAATAGTCTGCTTCTAAGAATCAAGACAAAAAGTGTGGAACAAATTATTGGTATCTGAACTGAAGCAAGTTCGTGTTTAACACACAACACAAAGTAGGTGGGTGGCTCTATAAAATGATTAAAAACATGGAAGATGCATCCTTATCTTGTAAACAGATATAACAGGGCTAAGATTACCCATCAGAGAGTCACTTCACAACTTTATTTTTTCCCCATGGCTCTCTAGTGCTTAAAGGATGGGATTTCTATTTCATCCTGTCATAAATTATCTCTCAGAATCCATCTTGACCTTCTTCCCAAATTTGGTCTCTCTTCTCCCATACAGCAAATTTTTAATTGACTCCCAGGAAACATCTATGACTTTATAAAATTTTATTTTCTCCGAATTTTATTCCCATTTCTCTCTTAAGATAAAGCAAAATAAAACCAACAAAAAGTAATCTTAGATGTCATTCAGGGCTGGAGAAAAATACACCGCTCCTCCTTAGGTTTCCTCTATTTTTCCAGGCAGAGCAATTGACTCCCTCCTCTGTTACTCGAGGACTTTCAGTATGTGTCTACTTGAGTTCTTATCACAGCATACAATAAGTGTATGTTTACAGGTATTTATTGCCACCTAGACTTTAGAAGAATTTAAAGTCTATGCAGACCCCACAAATTTGAATACACGCAACAGGGCAGACAGGTAATGGAATTGGGCTTTTGGAAAACCACAAATTGTGACAACAAATGGCAGCCCACCCAGAGAGGTGATGGAGAATAGGGAGTGGTGGATATTGTGAATAACTGCAAAATGCATGCTGCATCTAAGGGAGGTTAGCTGCTTCTCCACTTTGGCCACCTGTGTTTCAGTTAGAATACCAGATCAATATGGTCATAGCTTCTGGTTTTCAAGAGAAGCTAGGAATGTGGAATTTTATGTGTAATCTCCCATTATATAAATGCTACCAGCCAATTCCTCCAAGAACATTTCTTTTATGGGCCAAATAAAACACGGATTTATGCTGAAATTTGTCCATTTAATATTGGAGTTAATCAAGGGTAGCTCCTGGGCCTCCTCCTCATTGTATATTTTTTTCCCCTAATCAATCTCATTTAACACATGAAGATTCATTTTCTTCTGTATGCACATAACTCAGAAATTTATATTTCTAATTCAAGACACATCTAACTGCCTACTTGCCATCTCCTCTTGGATTGCTGATAACACTTACATATATTTATATATTCAAAACCAAACTTAAGACAATCGTATCCCCCCTTTTTAGTGTAACATATTTTAACGTGTGTAACTGTCCATCTAAGTAGCAGTTATCTTTGACCATTTTTTCCCTCACCACCCTTTCCAATTCACCAACAAAGTCAATTTTTCCCTACTAATACTAACCTCTTAATTCTAGTCATTTCTTTGTTTCTCCACCGTAATAACCCTGGTCGAAAATACCATCATCTCTCCCATGAACTACTTCTCCCATAAACTCTTCAGTGTCTCTCCAGTATTCCCAAAAGTGCAGCTAAGTGATCTCCTCAAAATACAAGTCAAGCAATGTTTCTACATTGCCTACTGCTTCAGTGTTTTTCCATTATTATATGGGATCAAGAGGAAAACAGTTGGACAAAAACCTTGAAAAACAATGTGGCTAGTAAGGCCCTGTCTGGTTTGAAGTCTCCCAACCTTTTTATCCTCATTGTCTGCCACACGTCTTGCACTGTTTCAGCCTTGCTGTTCTCATACCTCTAACTTTTCTTTTTACATGCTTGTCTTTTCTTTCCCTTACTAACCTCCATTCATCTCAGTTCTACTTCAGATTCCTCAGCCAAACCACCGAACACCTCTGTACCATTAATCACAATATAACATGGGTTATGATTAAGTGACAATCACAACATCTGTCTCCCTATATAGATTCCAAGTTCCATGAAGACAGGGATTCTCTGTTTCTCCTTATTGTATCACCAGAAATAAGCATAGTATCAGGCAGGAGAAAATAAGAAATATTTGTTATATAAATGAATTCATGAATAAATAATACTAAAAATATTGTTAAATTAAAGATTTAAAGTGGATGGATGAATGGAGATGGGGAAGTCCTGAAAGTCCTATTTTTCTAGTTTCACTAGAAGAAAATGGATCTGGGAAAAAGGAGACAAAACTAAGATCTTATTACACACTTAAATTATGCGTTGAATCAATATTCCAATAGCAAGGAACTATTAAATAAAGTAACTTATCTGTGTATTATATGTGCCTATGTTTACTAATGTAGATATACATAATTTGATTTGAAAAACATAGCAAGTACTTTTAAAAAGTTCTTTTTCAACTTCATTAGTGATGGAGAATAAATAGCTTAGAGTTAAAACATAACCTTTAGCTCTCAGAGAGGCACCTCTGTTTCTACTGCCAGATATTTTTCTGCTAAGGTTTCACTACATCATTCTATTATAGACTGATCTTTCCCCTTTTGTGCTTAACTCTGGAAAAAAAAAATTAGATTTCACCGAGTAAGATTTTAACCTGAAAATGCAAAAATCCATATATAAGAATAAACATTTCCACCACAATATAGGGAATAAAAATCAGTAATGACCAAGAAAATATTTGTAACTACTAAAATACAAGAAAGAGAATAAAAATACTTTGAAGGTCTGATAGAAAATTACACAATAGTCCTCCTGGCGAGGTCAACGCCCAGGCTATGGCAGCCGCTTCCTCATGTCAGCGCTGCTCCCTCCACCCTCACCCCTTCCACCTCGGGGCAGTTCGAAATGAAGCTGTTGTCATTTCTGGAAGGAAACTGGCCCAGCAGATCAAGCAGGAAGTGCGGCAGGAGGTGGAAGAGTGGGTGGCCTCAGGTAACAAATGGCTATACCTGAGCATGAACCTGGTCAGCGAGAATCCTGCAAGTAACTCATGTCCTCAACAAAACCAGGGCAGCTGCAGATGTGGTTATCAATGGTGAGACGATTATGAAACCAGCTTCAATTTCAGAGGAAGAATTGTTGAATTTAATCAATAAACTGAATAATAATGTAGATGGCCTTATTCAGCTGCCTCTTCCAGGCATATTGATGACAGAAAGACCTGTAATGCCTTTCTCCAGACAAGGATGTCGATGACTTTTATGTAATTAATGTAGGGCAAATGTGTTTGGACCAGTATTCCACGTTACCAGCTGCCCCATGGGGTGTGTGGGAAATAATTAAGCAAACTGGCATTCCCACCCTAGGGAAGAGTGTGGTTGTGGCTGGAAGGTCAAAAAATGTTGAAATGCCAGTTGCAATGTTACTGCACACAGATGGGGCGCATGAAGGTCCCAGAGGTGATGCTACTGTTACAATATCTCATGGATACACTCCCAAAGAGCAGCTGAAGAAGCATACCATTCTTGCAGATATTGTAATATCTGCTGCAGACATTCCAAATCTCATCACAGCACATATGATCAAGGAAGGAGCAGCCATCATTAATGTGGGAATAAATAGAGTTCAAGATCCCGTAACTGCAAACCCAAGTTAGTTGGAGATGTGGATTTTGAAGGAGTCAGACAAAAAGCTGGTTATATCACTCCAGTTCCTGGAGGTGTTGGCCCCAAAACAGTGGTGATGCTAATGAAGAATACCATTATTACTGCAAAAAAAAATGCTGAGGCATGAAGAACGAGAAGTGTTGAAGTCTAAAGAGCTTGAAGTTGCCACTAATTAACTAATTGTGTCTTCTATGTCACAAACAGCACTCCAAGCCAGCTCAAGAAGCAAAGCAGGCCAATAGAAATGCATTATTTTTAATTTATTCTACTGCAGTGGTTTCAAATGATGCTTCCTATTTATTGAACGCTTAAATGAGTAGGTGTTTGTGCACATAGCTCTGCAGTACCTCACCAGGGAGCATTACAGTATTATGCAGGGTCATGTAATCTAGCCAAGAGCAGCCATTAACCTCGTGATTAACACGGGAGACATTGTCATGTTGAGAATGGATGCTTAACTTTATGTCAAATACCTCGGTTAAACATTTGCGTTTTCTAGAATGGCATTTCCCAAGTGCTATTCCAATAACAGTTGATACTCATTTTAGGTACTAAACCTTTTGAGTTCAACTGATCAAACCAAAGGAAAAGTGTTACTAGAGAAAATTAGGGAAAAGGTGAAAAAGAAAAAAATGGTAGTAATTGAGTAGAAAAAAAATTAATTTATATATGTCTTGATTGGTAGCCAGATTTATCTAAGTAGAACTGAATCGGCTAGGAAAAAAGGAAAACTACATGTTAATCGTTTTCTAAGCTGTATTTTGAAGCTTAGTCAGTCATTGGGAAAATGTTTAGAATTTTTCCTTGCTATTAGGCGTTATTTTATGTATGTTACCCTTCAGTAAGTTCTTCCCATTTTAGTTTTCTAGGATTTAAAGGCTTATTTTAAACATTATGTGTATTGTCATATTGTTAAATTTTTGTATTGTATCATTTCTTTGATATCTCTTAAAACCTATTTTTGAAAAACAAACTTGGCTTGATAATCATTTGGGCAGCTTGGGTAAGTATGCAACTTACTTTTCCACCAAAGAATTGTCAGCAGCTGCCTGCTTTTCTGTGATGTGCCCTTTTGACTTTTCCAGAAAATTTTTAAGAGTTTGAGTTAATATTGAATTTAATCAGACTTTCTGATTAAAGGTTATTATTTTGTTTCTTTTTTAATAAAACACATCTGTCTGGTATGGTTAAAAAAAAGAAAAAATTACAGAATAAAAGAGTATCATTGCTTTCAGCATTTAAGTTTGAAAACTTTTTTTTCCTCAGCAAAATCTTTAAATGATACTAATTGAAATCCTTTTGGCAGAAATAAGTTTTGCTAAAAAACACATCTTAGATTTTGTTTATTTTGAAATATGTATATTGATAACTATGTGAGATAATGCATGTTAGCCAAATGTAGTAATTCCACAATGTATATATACTTCAAAACATCATGTTGTATATAGTAAATATATATAATTTTATCTGTAGATGTAAAAAATAAAATAAATTTCCATGATATCAAAACCAGACAAGCACATAACAAAAATAGCAAACTACAGGACAATATCCGTGATGAGCATCAACAAACTACTAACAAAGTGAATTCAACAGCACATCAAAAAGATCATCCATTAGGTTAAAGAGGAATTTATCCTAGGGATGCAAAGATGGCTCAACATATGCAAATCAATAAACACTGATTTGCATTACATTACATTAATAGAAGTACAAAAATAATATGATCATCTCCATAGACACAGGAAAAGCATTCAATAAAATTCAACTTGACTTCATGGTAAAAATCCTTAACAAATTATATGTAGAAGGAACGTATCTCAACACAATAAAGGCCATATATGACAAACCCAGCGTTAACATAATACTGAACAGGGAAAAGTTAAAAGCTTTTTCTCTAAAATTGGGAAGAAGACAAGGTTGTCTACTTTTACCACTTCTTTTTAATATAGTACTGGAACTCGTAGACAAAGCAATTAGGCAAGAGAAGGAAATAAAGGGCATCCAAATTGAAAAGGAGCAAGTAAAAGTGTTCCTGTTTGCAGATGACATTATCTTCTGTATAGAAAACCCTACGGACTCCACCAAGAGACTGTTAGAACTAATGAACAAATTCAGTATGGTTGCAGAATGCAAAATCATACAAAAATCAGTAGTATTTCTATATACAACAGTAAAATATATGAAAAAGAAATCCCATTTACAATAGCTACAGCAAAATAAAATACCTAGGAATAAATTTAACCAAAGAAATGAAGTATCTTTATAATGAAAACTATAAAACATTGATAAAGGAAATTGAAGAAGATATTAATAAATGGAAAGATATCCTGTGCTCATGGATTAGAAGAATTAATATTGTTAAAATGTCTATACTACCCAAGCAATCTGCAGATACAATACAATCCCTATCAAAATCCCAATGACATTCTTCACAGAAAAGCAATCCTAAAGTTTGGGGGAAAAAAAAGACATTTTGAGTATTATATTATTCAGATTATTCAGAAATAGAAATAAGGCAAATATATTATCTCTGGTATATTGTCTAGGTTGGTCTATTTTTCTGAAATTTCATTAATGAGTGTCATCTGTGAAGTTTGACATTAACATATCATGTATTAAAATTATTTTAAAATGTATTCCTTATCTTGTGTATATGTATATATTACTTTTACATTTTTGCTTTCGATTCTAAGACAAATTTATTTTTCCTCAGTCATACAAATTAGTAGATGACAAAATAATCTCAAAAACCAACAATATTATTATAAATGAACCTTTTAACATTACCTAAGAATAAGTACCAGTTTTGTGCTATGAAGATGACTATCTATCAGATTATTCTGTTATCTCTGCTATGACTGAGACTTCAATAATTATACCTTCTGAAAATTAGATTTGAGGGGGAATGTAACAGGTTTCAGGATTTTTTATTTAACATTTAACCTTAAACCGAACATTTAACCTTAAGAAAAATTAGATCTCAGAACTTTATCTCACTTGAAATCACCTCAACTAAAAAGATATAAGAATAAAGGAAAAAAGCAAAAATCAGCTGCTGATACAGGGAAAATTTTGCTGCCAGGAAATCAGTTCCACGGGATCAATCTGCCTGAGGCTCATCTTGACTTCATTCATAACAAAGGTGTGTAAATCAATGCTTATTTTAATGCTTTATTAGTCTATCTTTATACATTATGTTTTTTTATTTAATAGAGAATGATGAATGCTTTTCTTATAATTATGAATGAATATAGTGTCTTAGATTTGTTTAGTGTTGATAAGTATGTCGCTATGCTGCAACAGCATTTCTTAACCTTTTGGGGGAACCATTCCAGAAACTTAGAGCAATGAACTCTTTCTCCCAGTAAAACACATGTACACAAATTAACACAAATTTTGCGTAGGGTTTTGAGGTGTTACTAACACCCTTATGCTCCTTTAGGGAAATCCTTCTTTAGAATTCAGTACAGGACCTGTTTAAAACCATGCTGCTTCTACATTTTTCGCATAATGACAAAGGAATCTGTAAGAGTGTGGCAAGATTATTTTTCTACAAGGCACATCTCTAACTGAAATGCTGTGCATTATGCTGATGTTCTTGCCAGCAAAATGATGTTGGTGATATTTACTCATTCATTCTTGATGAATATATATATTTACATATATATATTCTTCTTTTACTATAGTTCAGTTTTTTACTATAGTTCAGTTCATTCTTACCATTCCAAATTAATGGAAGTTAGTAATTCTGTAATTATCCAAAATAATACATTATCCACAAAGCACATATTCCTAATCATATTTTATTTTTAATATTCCATAACATGCATTTATCAGCATCTATTACCCTGAAAAGACAAAAACCCAGAAATGTGTTGAATGATGGAAAATGTCTCATACATAATAAAATGATGAGTGCAAATTTTTTGTTACCCAGAATTAGTGATTAGAACTCAAAGCTGTGAACAAAGAGCTTCTAAGCACCCACTTTCTAAACAGATACCCCAAAAATAGAGGTCAGAAGCCTCCCTGCAAGATTTATTAAGCAGGGTCATAATCAGTCCTAGAAAGCAACAGAGTGGTTAATAGCACAAGTACTGTATTGAATCAGCCTGGTTCAAATGCTGTTCTGGCCACAGTAGCTATGTAACCATGAACAAGTCACTTCATCTCCCTGTCCCTCAGTAAAATGAGCATAATAACTATAAAAAGTGTATATAACAGTTATATTTAATCCATGGTAAATGTTCAATGGTGCTTATATCAGGATTTTGTAAGTCTAGGTATTTTCTGTGCTTTAAAAAAAAAAAATGCTCCGTAGGGTGATTGTGCAGATTAAATGCCAACATAGATGTAAACAAATAGAAATGTGCCTGGGCCCTGGTATGTATTCAATAAATGTATTATATTTCGTTGTTATTTTTCTCATAGTTAATCCAATCATCCTCTCAAATCTCTGTGTGTGTAAGTGTGTGTATAGAAAACTGGGGACTAGAAAAGACACACTCAAAGGGATGGGTGCGGTGAGCCCCTATGGAAAGGAAAGTGTGTTCTTTGATGAGGGTAATTCCCTATTCCCAAGGTGCTTCCTCCATCTCCTAAGTAAAGTGAGGGGGAAACTCCATTAGAATCTGTCAGCTACTAATGCTCCCTGTAAGAAGGAGTAGGGGCTCCATTCCCTTACTAGTTGCCAGTTTGGCAACAGACATACTGACACACCATGTCACCAGTATTCCTCCCCATCACATTTAATGTCAGTTCATCCTTTAGATACCACCTCAAGTGTCACTTCTATAGCTAGCTTTCCTTAACCCTCAAACCAGATAAATTCTCCTGTAATAGCATAACACATGCTTCTCTTTATCAAACTGATCAGTTGAGATTTTTATAGTTTAGGGTTGATTTGTTTAATGATTACTTAAATCCTAAGATATAAGGTTCATTAAGACAAAGATTGTGTTTTTATACCTCACTCCAGTGCCTAACACAATGATTGGCCCATGGTTCAGTACTCAATATATATTCTGAGTACTGACATATTATTGGGTTCAGTACTCAATGATGCAAATTGGGGGAGAGAGTCATCAATGTTGAGTTGAAATTGAATAGTGTTGAAGAGGTTCACGTGATACTACAGAAACAGAAATGCTAGTTTAAGTGAGAAAGAGATCAATTCTTGTTGGATAATCATAGGAGGTTTATCATATTAGAGGAGAATAAGAATGAGAATTTGAAGGAAGATAAATTTTAGTAAACAAGTTAGGAGAGAAATGTAAGAAAACGTATGTGTGCTGCTAAATATACTGGATTAAGAGTAAATTAATTTGCAAGCTGAATGAGTTTATGGAAAAATAAAAGATGCTTCTATAATTGTAAGGTATTTATTGTTATATAGATCCATTAATATCATGCTAATTATTTGGATACTTTCCACAAAGAGTGGATAAGGATTGAAGTTTTTAAGTAGAGAAGGACATGAGATACACATCAGACAAGGTTTAGTACAGAAAACTAAAACTAGGTATTTTGGCCAGAAAGTGATTTACAACATTAGGTAATTTAAAAAATGGTTGCAACAAGGAAGCTAAGAACCTTGATAAAAGTTTACAGGAACTGCTAACTAGAACAACCAGCTTAGAGAAGAACACAAGGACTATGTGAAAATACCAAAACTACAGTTGATCGGTGTACCTAAAAGTGACAGGGACAATGGAACCAAACTGAAAAACACACTTCAGGATATTATCTTGGAGAACTTACCCAACCTAGCAAGACAGGCCAACATTCAAATTTAGGAAATAAGACAACACCACTAAGATGCTCCTCAAGAAGAGCAACCCCAAGACACATAATCATCAGATTCACCAAGGTTGAAACAAAGGAAAACAATGTTAAGGGCAGTCAGAGAGAAAGGTCAGGTTACCCACAAAGGGAAGCCCATCAGACTAACAATGGATCTCTCTGCAGAAACCCTACATTCCAGAAGAGTGGGGGCCAATATGCAATATTCTTAAGAGTTTTCAACCCAGAATTTTGTATCCAGCCAAACTATGCTTCATAAGCGAAGGAGAAATAAAATCCTTTACAGACAAGCAAATGCTGAGGGATTTTCGTCACCACGAGGCCTGCCTTACAAGAGCTCCTGAAGGAAACACTAAATATGGAAAGGAAAAACTGGTACCAGCCACTGCAAAAACATACCAAAATATAAAGACCAATGACACTATGAAGAAACTGCATTCAACTAATATGCAAAATAACCAGCTAGCATCATGATGACAGGATCAAATTCACACATAAGAATATTAACCTTAAATGTAAATGGGCTAAATGCCCCAATTAAAAGACACAGACTGGCAAATTGGATAAAGAGTCAAGATGCATCAGTGTGCTGTATTCAGGAGACCCATCTCACATGCAAAGACACACATAGGCTCAAAATAAAGGGATGGAGGGATATTTACCAAGCAAACGGAAAGCAAAAAAAAAAAAAGAAAAAAAACCAGGGGTTGCAATCCTAGTCTCTGATAAAACAGAGTTTAAACCAACAAAGATAAAAAAAGACAAAGAAGGGCATTACATAATGGTAAAGGAATCAATGCAACAAGAAGAGCTAACTATCCTAAATGTATATGCACTCAATACAGGAGCATGCAGATTCATAAAGCAAGTTCTTAGAGACCTACAAAGAGACTTAGGCTCCCACACGATAATAGTGGGAGACTTCAGCACCCAATTGTCAATATTAGATCAATGAGACAGAAAATTAACAAGGATATTCAGGACTTGAACTCAGTGCTGAACGAAGCATACCTAATAGACATCTACAGAACTCTCCACTCCAGATCAACAGAATATACATTCTTCTCAGTACTGCATAGCACTTATTCTAAAATTGACCACATAATTAGAAGTAAAACATTCCTCAGTAAATGTAAAAGAACAGAAATCATAAAAAGAGTCTTTCAGACTACAGTGCAATCAAATTAGAACTCAGGATTAAGAAACTCCCTCAGAACCACACAACTACATGGAAACTGAACAACCTACTCCTGAATGACTACTGGGTGAATAATAAAATTAAGGCATAGATAATTTCTTCTAAACTAATGAGAAAACAGACAGAACATACTAGAATCTCTGGGACACATTTAAAGCAATGTGTAGAGGGAAATTTATAGCACTAAATGCCCAAAGGAGAAAGCAGGAAAGATCTAAAATCGACTCCCTAACATCACAATTAAAAGAACTAGAGAAGCAAGAGCAAATAAATTCAAAAGCTAGCAGAAAACAGAAATAAGATCCAAGCAGAACTGAAGGAGATAGGGACATGAAAAACCCTTCAAAAAAATCAATGAATCCAAGAGCTGGTTTTTTGAAAAGATTAACAAAATAGACTGCTAACCAGAATAATAAAGAAGAAAAAAGAGAAGAATCAAATAGACACAATAAAAATTGATAAAGGAGATATCATCACTGATCCCACAGAAATACAAACTACTATCAGAGAATACTACAAACACCTCTACGCAAACAAACTAGAAAATCTAGAAGAAATGGATAAATTCCTGGATACATACGCCCTCCCAAGACTATACCAGGAAGAAGTCGAATACCAAAAGCAAGTTCTAAAATTGAAGCAGTAATTAGTAGCCTACCAACCAAAAAAAGCCCAGATCCAGACAGATTATCATCCTAATTCTACCAAAGGTACAAAGAGGAGCTGGTACCATTCCTTCTGAAACTACTCCAAACAATAGAAAAAGAGGGACTCCTCCCTAACTCATTTTATGAAGCCAGCATCATCCTGATACCAAAACCTGGCAGACACACACACACACACGCACAAAATTTCAGGCCAATATCCCCAGTGAACATCGATGCAAAATCCTCAATAAAATACTGGCAAACCGAATCCAGCAGCACATTAAAAAGCTTATCCACCATGATCAAGTTGGCTTCATCCCAGGGATGCAAAGCTGGTTCAACATACACAAATCAATAAACATAATCCATCACATAAACAGAACCAATGACAAAAGCCACATGATAGATGCAGAAAAGGACTTCGATAAAATTCAACAGCCCTTCATGCTAAAAACTCTCAGTAAACTAGGTATTGATGGAATATATCTCAATAAGAGCTATTTATGACAAACCCACAGCCAATATCATACTGAATGGGCAAAAGCTGGAAGCATTCCCTTTGAAAACCAGCACAAGACAGGGATGCCCTCTCTTACCACTCCTATTTGACATAGTGTTGGAAGTTCTGGCCAGGGCAATCAGGCAAGAGAAAGAAATAAAAGGTATTCAAATGGGACGACAGGAAGTCAAATTGTCTCTGGTTGCAGATGACATGATTGTACATTTAGAAAACCCCATTGTCTCAATCCAAAAACTCCTTAAGCTGATAAGCAACTTCAGCAAAGTCTCAGGATACAAAATCAATGTGCAAAAATCACAAGCATTCCTATACACCAATAATAGAGATTCAAATCATGAGTGAACTCCCATTCACAATTGCTTCAAAGAGAATAAAATACCTAGGAATCCAACTTACAAGGGATGTGAAGGACCTCTTCAAGGAGAACTACAAACCACTGCTCAACAAAATAAAAGAGGACAAACAAATGGAAAAACGTTCCATGCTTATGGATAGGAAGAATCAATATCTTGAAAATGGCCATACTGCCCAGAGTAATATGTAGATTTAATGCTATTCCCATCAAGCTACCATTGACTTTCTTCACAGAATTGGAAAAAACTACTTTAAATTTCATATGGAACCAAAAAAGAGCCCACATTGCCAAGACAATCCTAAGCCAAAAGAACAAAGCTGGAGGCATCATGCTACCTGACTTCAAACTATACTACAAGGCTACAGTAACCAAAACAGCATGCTTCTGGTACCAAAACAGATATATGATAGACCAATGGAACAGAACAGAGGCCTCAGGAATAACACCAGACATCTACACCATCTGATCTTTGACAAACCTGAAAAAAACAAGCAATGGGGAAAGGATGCCCCATTTAATAAATGGTGTTGGGAAAACTGGCTAGCCATATGCAGAAAACTGAAACTGGACACCTTCCTTACACCTTATACATAAATTAACTCAAGATGGATTAAAGACTTAAATGTAAGACCTAGAACCATAAAAACCCTAGAAGAAATCCTAGGCAATACCATTTGGGATATAGGCACTGGCAAAAACTTCCTGACTAAAACACCAAAAGCGATGGCAACAAAAGCCAAAAGGGGTCTGATTAAAGAGCTTCTGCACAGCAAAAGACACTATCATCAGAGTGAACCAGCAACCTAAAGAATGGAAGAAAATGTTTACAATCTATCCATCTGACAAAGGGCTAATATCCAGAATCTACAAAGAACTTAAACAAATTTACAAGAAAAAAAAACCATCAAAAAGTGGGCAAAGTATATGAACAGACACTTCTCAAAAGAAGACATTTATGCAGTCAACAGACACATGCATAAAAGCTCATCATCATTGGTCATTAGAGAAATGCAGATCAAAACCACAGTGAGATACCATCTCACGCCAGTTAGAATGGCAGTCATTAAAAAGTCAGGAAACAACAGATGCTGGGGAGGATGTGGAGAAATAGGAACACTTTTACACTGTTGGTGGGACTGTAAACTAGTTCAACCATTGTGGAAGACAGTGTGGCGATTCCTCAAGGATCTAGAACCAGAAATACCATTTAACCCAGCCATCCCATTACTGGGTATCTACCCAAACTATTATAAATCATTCTGTAAAGACACATGCACATGCATGTTTATTGCAGCACTATTCACAATAGCAAAGACTTGGAACCAAATGTCCATCAAGGATAGACTGGATAAAGAAAATGTGGCACATATACACCATGGAATACTGTGTAGCCGTAAAAAAGAATGAACTCATGTCCTTTGCAGGAACATGGATGAAGCTGGAAACCATCATTCTCAGCAAACTAACACAGGAACAGAAAACCAAACACCGCATATTCTCACTCATAAGTGGGAGTTGATCAGTGAGAACTCATGGACACACGGAGGGGAACATCACACACTGGGGCCTGTTGGCGGGTAGAGGGCAAGGCGAGGGATAGCATTAGGAGAAATACCTAATGTAGATGACGGGTTGATGGGTGAAGCAAACCACCATGGCACACGTATACCTATGTAACAAACCTGCATGTTCTACACATGTATCCCAGAACTTAGAGTAAAATAAATAAATAATTAAATAGTTGCAACAGTTGGAGAAATGAGCTCCAGGCTGGGCCTGAGTTGTAGCTATAAAATGCTTCTCAAAACCGAAGAAGCTAGAAAATAGACACTAAAACTCTGCTGCAGATAAACCTCTCATCAATATGACTTTATCACAAACAACAAATTTATATCAAATATACAAAATGTCTCCATATTACTTGAGCCTTTCAAATATCACTTTGTGCATTGCATATCGTTGGAAAAACCTAATTTGTATCAAGAAATTCAGCAGCAAAGAAATCTAAGAAATGTAGTCTCAGTCTCTCTCTGTTTCTTTCTCTCGACTCTGTAGCATATAAATGCACCACACTATAGGGAGGAGGATGTGGAGTTTTTTAGGCTCAATTCATAGCATTCTTCACAAGGAGTTTATTGTTGTTGTTTTCATTAATTCGGTAACAATGTGCTAGTTGGCTTGGAGTTAGAGATTCACTGAATGAAGTTGGCAAGAGAGAAAAAATCACCACCAATTCCCTCTGGCTCACATGTCTGAATGCATGTGGTGCGTTCCAATTTAGCAGTCCTAACAAATGACTTTTTCTTTTCAGGGTTAGTATGTAATCATTTATTTCCTTTAGAATATATATTTCAATGTTTAAAAAAATTCTTTAGCAGCCAAACTTATACTGTGGCAACATTTCAATTCTTCTTTGGTGGAGAGACCAAAAGCTCAGTATGCCTTTGAATTATTTTCCATCAAAAGAAAGGAGAGGAAGAGAAAATGGGCAAAAAAAAAAGCCACAAAATCACAATTTTTGAAAGCATACAATGATAGGGCTTAGCTTTTCAAAGAAAACCAAAATATTTGATGTAATCCCTAAAATTTCATAGATTTTTGAATATCATTAAGGAAATATTGCCTATGAGTGCTACATTAACAACAATAGCATACACATTTGGTTAATCATCAATAATCCATTCATCCAGTTTATGTATAGCCATAGCCAGTCTACTGCCCACATCCCAGCCTACATTTTGCTTTTTACAGTCCTTCCATTTGGAAATGAAAGTCGGGATCCTTGCCAATAACAACCACCTCCAATGTTTTCAATATTGCTACCATCACCCTGGCAACACAGAAGACAGGACATAAATAGTTGCTCTGCCAAACTTATCTATTGCCTTGTTATTCTTGTGGGAGTTAGTGTTGTCAAGGGAAGTTTATACCAAA
The DNA here is from genome assembly GCF_000001405.40 of Homo sapiens. Taxonomy (NCBI): domain Eukaryota; kingdom Metazoa; phylum Chordata; class Mammalia; order Primates; family Hominidae; genus Homo; species Homo sapiens. The sequence continues at coordinate 82,578,498 of NC_000007.14, read as the reverse complement.
GTTAAAAGTAAATTTTGACTTATCAATGGCAAGATTTTCTAAAAATTGCATTCATGCTTTATTTATTTAGACAATTAAGTGAAAGTGTAAATAAAATATAAACTCCATGAGGGCTGAGAAAATACTTGTCTTATTCCTCAGCACTGAGCTCCAGTAGATGCTCAGCAAATATTTATTAAGTGGGTGAATTTCTTCAATGCAAGTATGGATTTCTCAAGTTAAAGCATTAAATTTGACATTGTTTATATCAGCACATTGGTAGCACTTAAAATATTTTTTTTAAATCGTAGTCCAGAATAATTTTTAAATGGTAGAATTGTTAATGGGTGCAGAGATTACATAATCTAGTTTCAGTTGCTATCTGGTATACCTACCAGATTGAATGTATAGCCAGATGTAAGAAGAAAAAAACAACTGTTTTTATTTTCCCTCAACTCTTACACGGCCACTCAATACGACACTTCTAACCCCAGATGTGGGTTTTTCCCCACAAACCAAGCAATTTTCCAGCAGACACCAGCTTAGTGTCCTCTAAGTCAATTCTGACATTATCTACCTGGAGATAGCAACAGATTTCACAGATTAAGGGCTCAATCTCACAACGCTGTGCCCACTTCACATGCAAATGGCAAGTCTCAGATTGTGACCTGTACTTCTGATTGGCTGTAATTTGGGGTTCCCATGATCCCCTCCTTGGTTTCAATTAGTTTGCTCAAGTGGCTCGTACAACTCAGGGAAACACTTTACTAACATCTACCCATTTATCATAGAGGATATTACAAAGGATACACATGAACAGCTTTGTAATGTTCCACCTATGCCAGGTGGAAGAGGTGCATAGGGTGAGGTATGACAGAAGAGATGCAGAGCTTCCAGGCCCTCTCTGAGTGCACCATCCTCAGGAACCTCCACACATTCAGCTATCCTGAAGCTCCCCATACCTAGTCTTTTAGAGGTTTTATGGAAGCCTCATAATGTAGGCACAACTGATTAAATCATTGGCCATTGGTGATCAGTTTAATCTTCAGTCCTCCTCCCTACCTCAGTGGCCAGGGGACAGAACCTAAAGTTCCAACCTTCTAATCACATGGTTGGTTCCCCAATCACATGGGGTTGGGGGGCAGCCAACCCCAACCAGAGGCCATCCAGGAGCCCACTGAGAGTCACTTCATTAGAACAAAAGATGTTCCTGTCAGCCAAAAATTCCAGGGGATTTAGGAACTGTGTCAGTTGTTCCTATCATTAAAGAAATTATAAAGGTCTTAGGAACTCTGTCAGCAGCTGGGGTCAAAACCCAAATATCAGAACAAAAGATTCTTCTAGAGCCCATATCTATGAGAGTTTTGTGCAAGGAACCAGGGGGCAGACACCAAATATATTTCTTATATCACAGTATCACACCAGACATGTTATTAGATATTATCAACACTCTTGACATTGAATTTGGTGCTTTTTATACATTTATGGCATTTTCACCTCCCCCTTGCCACATGTAGTAGGTATCTTGCAAATCAAAAAACCTAGACTCTAAGAGGTCAGCAAAGTCGAGCATGTTTACTCAGCTTGTCAGAGGAGAGGGAGCAGGGTGTGAACCCAGGTTCATCTGGCTTCAAAACCAGTGCCCATTCTGGTCACAGAACTGCATCTTTTGGTGTCTCTCTTCAATCTCTAGAGCTCTTTGGGCTTTTCTGGGGTTAGAAAGCTAATCTGGAAGTCATATCACAGTGCCAACCCAGTCTCACTTCCTTCGAATCCCTGCCATCCCCTCTTTGTGGTGGTGATCTTGGCACCTTTTCCCTAATTTGGAAACTCCTCACTTTCGATGGAGAAGGACTGTGTTAAGTACAGCAGTAGCGATTTCCCACATGTTTATTGGAAGTCTCTTTTTGAAAGTAGAATTAGCTTTTTTTTTTTTTTTGGAAATGGCTTAAGGTAAACCATGTGTAGACTGGGCATGGTTGCTCACTCCTGTAATCCTAGCACTTTGGGAGGCTGAAGCAGGAGGATTACTTGAGGTCAGGACTTGGAGACCAGCCTGGGCAACATAGTGAGACCCCGTATCTACTGAAAATAAAAATAAATTAGCCAGGCATGGTGGCACAAGCCTGTAGTCCCAGCTACTCAAGAGGGAGACTGAGGCGGGAGGATCATTTGAGCCCAGGAGATTTGAGGCTGCAGTAAGCTATGATTGCACCCCTGCACTCCAGCCTGGGTGATAGAGGGAGACCCTGTCTCTAAAAAAACAACAATAACAATAAAGATGAACCACATGTACAATACATTTTGCATCGTTTTATAAAGAGAGCAGTCTGGCATTTAAAAAGTCATTAAATGATAGAATAATAGGGAAAAAAATAGATATATCCCTGATCTCCCAAATAAGAAAACACTGTGGCATGGTAGAAAGAACATGAAATTTAGAATCAGAGATCTTAAGTTTTAATCTTAGCTCCACCACATACCAAATTTTCTCCCTTGTACAAATTACTTAAGGCTTATTTCTCTTATTTCTAAAATGATTAATTACAATCTTTGGCTTTCAAGGATATTGAGTTTAATTGCTAACATACAGAAGTCTTTTGTAAATAGTAAAATGCTACACAAATATAAGTTACTGGTGATAATGATATTGCTATTATTGTGTTAATTCTAGGACAGAACATAATCCAATATTCCAATTCTACAAATGAGAAAACTGAAGTATAGAAACATGAGGCGAAATAAAGATTCCCAATAAAGGTGAAATAAAAAGAAATTTGAAAATAGACAAAAACCAGTGTCAGGATCAGTATATTTCAGTATATTAAATCTGACTATACTGTGTGCTGTACAAAAATGTCAGTCCTTGTTTTCTATATTCATGATAAATCTAACGTTTTCTTAAAAACTGGAAAAAAAGAAAAATAATGATTGCAAGTGCTGTTGTTCTGACTAGACAGGTAAGTCCAATTTGTAAGATAATAAATATTTGCAGAAGAGTTTGTAGTGTTTTTATAGAGTGGGGTCAGAAGAGGATGATTACAGCCATCATTTTCATTAAAGGAATGGTGGAGGTAGGAAGAGCTTTTCCAAATACTGAAAACAGGAATTATTTGAAGAAGAAATAAAAAAGTTGGAGACATGAAGAACACATAATGTAGGCCAACACTTTAGAAATCTGAGAAAGCATAGAGAGGATATTAGTGAGCTACACCAATGCCATAGACTGGGTGGCTTGAAGAGTAAACATTTGTTTCTCACAGTTCTGAAGGCTAGTGTTATGGTTTGGCTGTGTCCCCACCCAAAATCTCATCTTGAATTGTAATCTCCACATGTCAAGGGTGGGACCAGGTGGAGGTAATTGGATCATGGGAGCGGTTTCCCCCATGCTGTTCTCGTGATAATGAGGGTGTCTCACAAGATCTGATGGTTTTATAAGCATCTAGCATTTCCCCTGGTTGCACTTATTCTCTCTGCCGACACCCTGTGAAGGATGCCTACCACCATGATTGTAAGTTTCCTGAGGCCTCCCCAGCCATGGGAAACTGTGAGTCAATTAAACCTCTTTTCTTTATAAATTACCCAGTCTCGGGCAGTTCTTTATGGCAACATGAGAACAGGCAAATACAGTATATTAATACCAGGTAGTGGGGTGCTGCTGTAAAGATACCTGAAAATGTGGAAGCGACTTGGGAACTGGGTAACAGGCAGAGGTTGGAACAGTTTGGAGGGCTCAAAAAAAAAAAGACAGGAAGATGTGGGAAAGTTTGAAACTTCCTAGAGACTTGTTGAACGGCTTTGACCAACATGCTGATAGTAATATGGACAATGAGTCCAGGCTGGGGGGGTCTCAGACGGAGATGAGGAACTTGTGGGGAACTGGAATAAAGGTGACTCTTCCTATGTTTTATCAAAGAGACTGGCAGCATTTTGCCCCTGCCCTAGAGATCTGTGAAACTTGGAACTTCAGCGAGATGATTTAGGGTATCTAGTGGAAGAAATTTCTAAGCAGCAAAGCATTCACTATGTGACTTGGATGCTATTAAAAGCATTCAGTTTTATGTATTCACAAAGATAAAACATGGAATTGAAACTTACATTTAAAAGGGAAGCAGAACATAAAAGTTTGGAAAATTTGCAAAATCCATTTTGAATTTAGACTTGCATGGGGCCTGTAGCCCTTTTGTTTTGGCCAATTTCTCCCATTTGCAAAGGGTGTATTTACCCAATGCCTCTACCCCCATTGTGACTAGGAAGTAACCAATTTGCTTTTGATTTTACAGGCTCATAGGCGGAAGGGACTTGCCTTGTCTCAGATCAGACTTTGGACTTGAACTTTGGGGTTAATGCTGGAATGAGCTAAGACTCTGAGGGACATTGGAAAGGCATTATTGTGTTTTGAAATGTGAGGACATGAGATTTGGGAGGGGTCAGGGGTGGGATGATATGGTTTGGCTGTGTCCCCACCCAAAATCTCATCTTGAATTGAAGTCCCCATGTGTCAAGGGCAGGACTAGGTGGACATAATTGGATCATGGGGGCAGTTTCCCCCATGCTGTTCTCATGATAATGAGTGAGTCTCATGAGATCTGATGGTTTTATAAGCATCTGGCATTTCCCCTGCTTGCATGCATTCTCTCTCCTGCCATCTCGGGAAGAAGTTTCCTGTTTCTCCTTTGCCTTTTGCCATGATTGTAAGTTTCCTGAGGCCTTCCAAGCCATGCAGAACGGTGAGTCAATTAAACTTCTTATCTTTATAAATTACCCAGACTCCGGCAGTTCTTCATAGCAGTGTGAGAAAGGACTAATATAGGTAGGAAGCCCAAGAGCAGGGTGCCAGCATCCACCTGACTTCAAAGCATGCTCAGGTGCTGGTGAGGGCCCTCTTCTGGCCTGGTAGATGGCTGCCTTCTCACAGTGTCCTCACATTCAGTCCATAACTGAGAAATGCCGTTATTGGTTATTCAAACAGAAGGAGTTGCATACATTCACCTATTAAAGAGGGAACAAATGGCTGGGGGCTGTGGCTCACACCTGTAATCCCAGCACTTTGAAAGGCCAAGGCAGGTGGATCGCTTGAGGTCAGGAGTTCGAGACCAGCCTGACCAACACGGTGAAACCCAGTCTCTACTAAAAATACAAAAATTAGGCTGACATGGTGGTGTGCGCTTGTAATCCCAGCTACTCAGGAGGCTGAGGCAGGAGAATCGCTTAAACCCAGGAGTCGGAGGTTGCAGTGAGCCAAGATCGTGCCACTATACTCCAGCCTGGGTGACAGAGACTCCATCTCAAATAAATAAATAAATAAGGGAACAAACTCCCTAACAAGGTGACTGCCTAAGCAAATATAGTTACCTCTCTTCCTTCTCCAAATCTCTTTGAAAAGATCACAGAAATGTACAAATAAAACTAAATTCAATTTGCTGGTAGAAAGCTATAAAATATACAAACTATATAAATAATAAAATTCAAACCACCACTCCACCAGCAGCCAAAAGCAGTGAAGAGATTCTGGAAGTTCTGAAGCAAACAAGCCAACACTGCTGTGTATAATGAAGAAATACTAAGCTGAGGAACTTGCAATGATTACAGACAAAAAAGAATGAACCATAAAAAGGGGCTGGGTACCCAGCAGAACCTTAAATAAAAGCCCCAGACAGAGACAATGAAAACTGGAAGCCTGGTCAGCTAGGAAATTAATGAAGGGAAGAAAAAACTATCTGCCTCTGCAAGAGTAGATAACTCCAGCATTGGCCTCCAGCCTTAATTCAGGTTAAGAATCAACCAATCAACCAATACTTTATGGATGGGCATACATTCAGTAAAATGCTGTGATAACACCAATTTGGATATAATGTGAATGGGAATTGGCTGCTGCACTCCTCTCATCCTCCATCTGAAAAAGTGGGAGAAATAGTGGATCCCTTCATCTCCAATATTCTCCTGGGTCAGACTCTCCTGCTGGAGAGTCTGGGGAGATGAAACAATTGTAAACTAACTAGGAAGTTTCAAAATCGCTAACGCTATCCTGGAAGTCCTTGGCATCCAGACACAGGAACCAAAATCAACTGCTTGCTTTTTAAACCAGAGCCTAACTTCCACCAGATGGCGCCAAACCACAGCAGGGACTGAAAGGAATGGGGTTAGATGCTGCAGTGAAACCGCCGGAAACGGGTCCTACTGCAGCAGGACACAGAAATCTGAATGAAAGAAACCCCTTATTTTATGCGATTGTATTTTTAGGGCGCACTTCTCGGGTTATGGCAAGGTTTTTCTATAATTAGAATGAATGGTTCTTCCTCACTGCTTCTATACAAATATTTTCTTGTTAGAAAATAGGCACCTGTGAAATTTAAAGGTCGGTTGAAGCTCCCTGACTTTTCCGCTAAGGCTTCCAAATATCCCTTTTCAACTTACGCGATTCAAACACCATGATTGACCATGCGACTGTATAAAGTTTATTTCTCATTCTATTCGTTTTTCCAATTTTAAAACTACAAAAAATTAGAGAAAATTTTATTTATTCCCAGAATTGAACATGTGTCAACTCAGAGTATAATAGTGCTAATCACTATCTACATTTAACTTAATGTTGATTAGCCAAGCAGTACCCATGTTACCAGTGTTCATTATGTTCAAAGTTCTCCAAAGAATGATAGACTTTAATTAACATTGCAAGAAGCTCTGAACGTTCAACCTTCCCTCTACAGCTATTAGGAGTCTACTTCTTAGGGCTTTGTCTACATAAGGCAAACACTCCCCAGAGCAAATCACTGTTCTCTTCTGGCCTCATTTCAACAGAAAAAGCAGGGACCATGAAAGTCCTAGTGGCCTGCTCTTGTTTAAGCAATATCTGTTGAAAATAATGGAAGATCTTACCTTAGAACTTAAATACCTCTGTGATGGTCTTCACTACCACCCTACTAACATGATAGAAAGCCAAAATGTATTTATAAAACCTCTTTATATTTTAATATTTTATTGTAAAATTGATTCCTGAGTCTCCAACTGGAATAAAATATTACTGGTGTATAATTATACATTTGAAGCAAACATTTATAAAATATTTTTTAAATGCTGCACTGGAAGTTTTCTTAGAAAAAATAAAAACACTAATTTTTTTATTTTTTATTTTATTTATTTATTTTTTTCCTCGAGATAAGAGTTTTGCTCTGTTGCCCAGGCTGGAGTACAGTGGTGCAATCTCAGCTCACTGCAACCTCCATCTCCTGGGTTGAAGTGATTCACCTGCCCCAGCCTCCCTAGTAGCAGGTGCCTGCCACCACAGCCGGCTAATTTTTGTATTTTTAGCAGAGACGGGGTTTCACCATGTTGACCAGGCTAGTCTGGAACTTCTGACCTCAAGTGATCTGCCTGCCTCAGCCTCCCAAAGTACTGGGATTACAGGCGTGAGCCACAGCACCCAGCCAAAAACATTAATTTTAAAACTGAGAAATCTGCTATATAGAAAGAAGTTGTTGAAAAATTATACCAAATTAGTGAAAGAGGAAGAATTAGAAGTTAATGTTTGTGCTTATCTCCTTATGCCTGTGTCTTATACCAGCAATTTAATAGCTTAACAGGAGACCTTAGGGAGAGTGAGGAGTTATCTAGTGCCAGGTGGAAAAAATCCCTCTGATAAGTTTCATCATTGCCTGAATCTCGGTTTAAATTAATCTGATTCCCATCTTGTGGAGGCTATTAACAGAGAGATGACCGTTTTGTTGGTAGAAAAGTAAAGTGGCCAATATCACAGCCACTGAAACCAAACAAATCTCACTTTGAATTCAAGCTCCCTGATTTACTTGGGTAATCTTAGACAAATTATTTAATCTCATATCTGTTTCTCAGTTTCCTTATCTTTAAAAGGGTGAAGCAATAGTATCTCTTTCATGAGACTAGTCTGAGTATTGTATGTGTTTATGGTAGAGTCGGATGCATAGGAAATCTACAATAGTGTGTGTTACTCTCACCGTCATCATTGCTATACCAATCATCCCTGTGATGTTCATTCTAGTGTAAGTAATTCCAAATGCACTTATAATCATTTATTATATCAGTAAAAGGTGAATACAAAATCTTCAAATGCAATTGAAGATCTCAAGTATTAGGCTTCTAAACCCTCACTAAAGTATATCAAACGAAACTAATGGAGAAGAAAAGATGAGCGCGATGAAGATATCACATATAACATTTACTAAAGACTAATCATATCAATGAGGAAGAGTGAATAGCAAGTTTATAAGTCATGGCACTATTTAACTCCATTTGAAGAAAGCATTTTTTGAAGCGTGGTAGAACTTTATTATTGTTACGTTCATTAGAACTGAGAAACTAAGAAACTATTTATGTATTAAAATAGAAACTTCAAAAAATCACCTTAAATTCCACTCTCTGAAGAGAGCCAAATTAAGTACGTATGCGTGTGTATTCTATAAACTTTAATGATAAGATATTGATATATAATCTTTCATACTCTTTTCTATACATCTGTAAAGACTTGAAGAGAACAAGGGAATAGGCCATATGGCTAACACAGGAAATGGTGTTCAAGGCAGAGAAAATAGTAAGTACAAAAGTCCTAAACTGGGAACATGCCTAGTGTATTCTAGGAACATTGAGGTGGGGACTGTAGCTGAAGTAGATGGAGGAAAAGAAAGAGCAGACTAAAAAAGGGTAACTAGTTAGAAGTCTAAAGGTGAAGGTAGCTTAGTTCAGAGTGGTAGCTGCAGTGGAATTGGGGGAATGTGATTTGATCTGGATATATTTTTAAATTATAGCCAAAAACTTACATTGGTGAACTGGAAATGCGGTTTGCTGAAAGGGAGTCATCAAGAGTGACTTCAAGTTCTGTGTGTGGATAATCAGAAGATTGGAGCTGCCATGTACCAAATTTGGAAAGAAAAAAGGAGGGTCAGATTTGTAGGGAGTGGGGAGTCTCAGGGGTTCTATTTTGTACATATTCAGTTTGAGACGTATGGTACAATTCCAAGCGGAGACATGAAGTGGGCAGTTGTATATATTAATCTGGAATTGGTAGAGAAATCTGGGCTGGAAGTATAAATTCCAGAGCCATCAGCACATACATGATTTTTGTTGTTGTTGTTGTTGTTGTTGTTTTTTGTTTTTTGTTGAGACGGAGTCTTGCTCTGTCGCCCAGGCTGGAGTGCAGTGGCGCGATCTCGGCTCACTGCAAGCTCCGCCTCCCGGGTTCACGCCATTCTCCTGCCTCAGCCTCCCGAGTATCTGGGACTACAGGCGCCCGCCACCACGCCGGTCTAATTTTTTGTATTTTTAGTAGAGACGGGGTTTCATCGTGTTAGCCAGGATGGTTTCAGTCTCCTGACCTTGTGATGCGCCCGCCTCAGCCTCCCAAAGTGCTGGGATTATAGGCGTGAGCCACCGCGCCTGGCCTCACATACATGATTTTTAAAGTCATAAAAATTGGTTGGATCATCTAGGGAGTGTAGGTTGAAAGAGTTTCAGATTTCCAGCTGGGGGGCACTTCAACTGATGGAGTTTGGGGAGATGCTACAAAACCAGCAAAAGAGGCTGAGAAGGTCAAAAAATTAAAAAAAAAAAGCAAGTATGTGAAGAAAGTATTCTAAAAAGGAGAGCGTAAAGAACTATATTAAACGCTGTGTCTATCATTCGAATTTCCAGAGAAATGGCCAGTGGATTCAGCAATGTGGAAGTCATTCGCTGCTCTCCCACTCTTATTAGAAACTTCTTTTTCTTACTTTAATATTTCTTACTTTGTATTTCTTTCTTTACTTTCATATTTCATACTTTCATATTTTAAACTTCAAGCACCTCCTTATTCTCAGTAATGACCTGCTACTTATTTCAATGTGAAAACAAAAACAATCAGAGGAGGAATTACATGATCCCACCTGTGTCTCTGCCCTTAGTGTAGCCTTTCCTACAAGGAGGAACTCTCTGTACTCTTAACCAAGGCAATTCCGTCCATCTATGCGAGATCCCGTTTCCTCTTGACTTCTCATGAACATCACTTCAGCAGTACTTCCTTCCATTATAATTGTTTTCTCCATATTTTAGTATTCTCATCAGCATACAAATTTCTAGAAGAAGATTTATTGGACAGATGAGCATGCCCTTCTTAAGAAGTTTCACAGAATCATTTTTTACCTGAGTTATTCAATAACAATTATTGCTCTTCATTTCTTCCATAAAAATCTCTGGTCTCCAATTATTCTTTTAGTCAGTATCACAGCCCACCTATGTTGAGATTTAGCTTTCTTTTAAATGTGGCAAAAGGTACTGTCTTAACTCTGAGTTAAGTAAAAGTTTACACCCAAGTATAAGTATAGGGCCTTGGTTTCTAAGTCTGCAACACTATCTGGTGATTAACAAAGATTCTGATTCCATATTCCTGAACTGGAAGTGCCATGGTTTTCTGTTTTGGGGAAGAGCTGCTTTATAGCATTAGATCTAATTTCACGATCTCATTTCACTATCTCATGGGCCTGGAATGGCCCTGATGCTCTCTGTCATGTGTCTCCTTCAGGCAAAATATCTTGGATCTGCTCTATCAGGAGTAGAGTTTATTTTCAGTTTTAGGCATTGGACTTCGTAGTAGTTAAAACAGTGAATACTATCCAGTTTCTTTCCCCAGTAATTTAAATTCTGGTTAAAATACCAACATGCAAACAACTCATTACAGTGCAGGATGATTTTTTTTTTTTAGTAAGGTATTATGGGGACATATAGAAGGGACATGTAGCCCACCTAGAAGAATAAGGAAATTTGATCTAAAGAGCACTTAACATGGAAGGAGTGAGGAAGACAGAGAAAGAGACAGCAGAAAGGACTTGGGGGAAAACCAGAGGATTCTGATGTCATGGAAACAAAGGCACATTAATGTAATTCTGGGCAGCAGAGTGAAGAAACAGAAGCAGAAGTTAGAAATGGGAGGATTAAATCGACAGGTCAGATTTATAGAAAAAACACAAACCAAATTTCACAGCAGAAATCTGACAAATTCACCACAGAGGTCACAGAGAAGCTAATTTTTAAAAAGCACGTTATTACTCTGCATGGAGCACTGATGTATAGCAGTTGCTCAGTACACATTTGTTAAATAGGAGTAAATGAAATTGAAGGGGGGCAAGCCAAATAAAAACAGAAGCACACACAGCACCCTAAAAAAGCGTATCTGGAAAAGGAAGTAAAATCTTTCAGTCTTCTAGTGGTCCAGTTTCCAAGATAAAAGTGTCCAAGTCTTAAGGTCACAGTGCCATTTCTGGCAGTTGCTAGAGCTAAAACTGGCTTGTCTGCATGATGTCCCAGCAACATCTTTAAATGTGAAAGAAATTAGCCAATAACCACAATATTTAATCCTCATAATGTCAAACAATCAAGGCTTTCACTGAATTGAAGGACTGTTTTGGCACCCACAATCCATCCCATCTATAACCACCCAAAGAATTGATTTTGAATCAAAGTAATTTAGGCAGATTATGAAATTGGGAGTTACACTGAGGGCTCTAAGATGCCAGAATGTGACTTCCTGAGTAGCCGGTGCTTTAGAGTTCTCACAAGGGCCCAGCCTTGGCAGCTGTGATCAGTGGACTGTGTGCCCAGTGCTTCACCTCTCTGTGCCCATTTACTTGTTCCCTGGCTTCTTTTACCTCTTGTCCCATCAAAACTTTTTTTTCCCCAGAGAGGATCTCATGTCAACAAATTATATCTTAATTTGAGTCTAGAGAAGTATTTCTCTTGTCCAGAGTAATTTCCATTTTAAGTCTTAACATGAATGTTATGTCCACTCTTAAAAGAATTTCAGAAATAACAGGCAGGCAGCTTTGTGCAATGAGAGAAGATCCTTTCAGGGCCTCTGAATGTGCCATCTCACAGATTTTAAATCTAGTTGAACATAGGCTCCCACTAAAGCAGTCTCAAAGAGGCATAGAATGATTATCCCTTAACCATGGTGACATCTGTTGTTGTTAGCCTGCTCCACATCCGTTTTCCCTTTCCTGATAACAAGCACCCTGCTTTTTCTTTCAGGGATTACTAATCCCCCACTCTATCTGTGTGGTTTGTGCAAGGTTAACTCCAACTTCTCAAAATGAGCATATGAATTAGGTCTAATTAATTTGAGCATCAAATTTCCCTGCACTCAGTGATGACTTCTTCGGTAAGAAAACTGGAAGACTGTGGTATCAGGGCAGCAAAGGCAATTAACGCCCTTCTGGACAGGGCAAGCCAGAGACAAGGAAACTCAATCTTGGGACTCTGCATGGATCTACAGAGGGAAGAATGGTCTCTCTTTCCTTGAATTACCAAACAGAATGCATATAAGATGGAACTACTTGCTGTGAAAAGGAAGAGTGTATCTGAGGTTGAAGCCTAGAAAGAAAAGCAGAGTTAAGAAAGAGGAGAAAGTGGCCGGGCACAGTGGCTCATTCCTGTAATCCCAGCATTTTGGGAGGCCAAGGCAGGTGGATTACTTGAGATCAGCAGTTCAAGACCAGCCTGGGCAACATGGCAAAAGCCCATCTCTACTAAAAATACAAAAACTAGCCAAGTGTGGTGGTATGTGCCTGTAATTCCAGCTACTTGGGAGGCTGAGGCACAGGAATTGCTTGAACCCAGGAGGCAGAGGTTGCAGTGAACTGAGATCCTGCCACTTCACTCACTCCAGCCTGGGTGACAGAGTGAGACTCTGTCTCAAAAAAAAAAAAAAAAAAAAAAAGAGGAGAAAGTGTCTTCAAACCATAAGGCCTCATTTGAGCCACTGGTCTTTTCAGTTATGTGCATCAACAATTATTAGTCAGTTTTATTTCGGTCATTCACAACTAAATAAATCATCAAATATTGAAACAATTTCTATTTGATTGGACTTTTTGATCAAGCCCAAGCTAAACCATTAATAATGTTCTGACTGTTGTGAGACCTCTCAGGACTTCAGACTACTAAACCTACTCCCTTACCATCCTAAAATGGGTTTCCCCTTTACTCCAAGGCCTGATTTGTTTTTTACATTTATTTAACAGACATTTACACAGTTATTACTATTGTTTGAATTATTCTACAAATATTAACTCATGTTATTAATTTAGCAATCCCCTGAGAGAGTTACTAGTTTCATCCTCATTTTATAAAGGAGGAAATTTGGCCAAATCACACAGCTAGTATGAGGGAGAGAGAGAAAGGAAGTGGGAAGCTGAGTTTCCACCACTGAGAGGTTTAATCCTTATTAAAACATTTACATCATTGTTTCTCAACCCTGGCTTGAAATAAGCATCTGAGGAGTTGAAAATTACTGTATCTGGGGTCCCAGTCCTAGAGGAGATGTTTAATTGATCTGGATTGGAGTCTGGACATCAGTATTTTTCAAAAGTTTTATAGGTGATGCCGGTATGTAATTCATACTGAAGAAAATACCTGTTTATGTAAAAGGTCAACAATTATCTTCTCCTAGGTCTGGGCATCCCTGGAGCAACTCACTCCAAAAGTCTCATTGGCTTCTATATAATGTTCACTAGAAAGCAATTAAGACTTTTAAAATATTTATTAAGACAATCCATTTTGATATATATTTAAGTTATAAATGATACTTGCTGAAACTAGAGTTGACACCATGGCGCACAAAACTGTGAATATTCATAATGTGAGAAATGGAGGGCAGCATTAGCAAAGTTATTTAAATTTAAATAACTAAAAATGACCCCATTTTAGCTTCTTATTCTTGCTAAACTAAGAATAAAATTGGATCTTTTTCCATATATAACTTGTACCTGGCCCCGATAAACTTAATAGTAGTAGAATGCTATTCATTTACATATTGTTCGTCTCCAAGGAATATAAACTGTTTCAAGATTGGTTCTCTCCTTTGTGTCTAGAATCTAAAATGAAGAAAGAAATTATGTCTACCTTTTCATTCTGCCTCCTGCTCTCTTATTCTCACGTCTAATCCCTGAACTTTTGTCCAGTTCTTGGGGGTACTAGATCTGTTATGCTTTTAGAGAAATATATGGGTAAAATGTAGGAGTTAAGTTGTGAAGACATCTTAAACATTATAAAGAAAATATTTTGTTTTTAAAAAATCTCCAGTTGCATTGTTTCTGATGAATTAAATCTCCTTTATATTTTGGACGGCTTATGTAGCATAATTAATACCCTCTAGTCCTCCTCCCATTCCCACTTCCAGAATGTCTTTAAATGTTACTATTCCAGTTAAATATAAATTCAGAGATTTGCATGCTCAAGGTTGAGAGAATAAATACTTATGCCTGCTTGATTTCTAATTTCTCTTTTCTTAGGGGAAATAAAAAGACATTTTCCTGAAATATCAAAATTTAAGTTTTGTTAAAAAACAAGAACTAATCTATGATCAGTAATTATATTCATATTTTTGATAAATATAATCCTAATGCCTAAATGTTTCCATTTATTTTATTTTATTTTTTTCCTGTGGTTTTCTTACTGTGTTTTTTTCATTGAGTGTTTTTAAATAAGAGCTTTTTCCTAAATAAAATCAGCAAATACTTATGAAAGTTTCGCTAAGCTCACGTCAGCCTAATGACACCCTGCCATCACTACTCCTTCCTCAGGCCCTCCAAAAATTATTTTGTCTTTTACATAAATACATTGCAATCCTTAGCAGAACACTGATTTATTAATTAAAATGGAAGACATAGAAAATAAAATCTTTCCACATTCTCATTGTTCAAAGTTAGCAAGAATACTTGCTTTATTAATTATACCCTAATTTGAGACAGTCACTGATTTGATAATCAGTAAAGGTAAAGTGACATTCACTCCTTTAAATTAGCAATATGTAAATATAGAATTAATGCTTAAAGTTTATAACCTGTCAAGGGGAATGAACCGAGTTGTCTCCACATAGCTGAAAGCAATTCAAAGCTTTGTTGGTATTTTTGACTTGTGAAAGACAGCAGGTATATATCAATATGTGGTTTTGATTGAGAGAAAAACTTAGAAAAACTATATTCTTACTTACTGAAAGATAATGCAGTGTAACAAATAGCATTTAGCAATCTTTCTGACACAGCACCAGATTCTGAATGAACTGTTTGATTGATTGTTGAGGCATTTGTTGTTTGCGTGTGATGAAAGAGAATTTGTGAACTAGTGGTATCCAATGATTTTCTGATTTACACCTCCAGGGGCATAGTCAACAATTAGATTGCCCTCTACAAAGTAGTTCTCAATTCAATAATCACTCATTGTTTATGCTTTCTCTAAAGAAGTAAAGATATTCAATTTTATTTTCTTTTTTCAACCACAGAAATTCCTAACATTGCTATCGAACGTCTCAGCAGCCCATTCATTTCTTTCTGTGACCTCTTCTCCTGAGTTGACAATCTCTTCTGGCTCTTGGATTTGCATCATATATGGGATTATAAATACCAAGGATGTTAATAGTTTTGAAAATACAGCAATAAGGTGGGAAATCTGCCCAAACTTTATCTACTGAGTGGACTGGCTAGTCCCACATTGAACTGATGAAATAGGCCATTTGTCCCCATATGAAGTTGACCTCTTCACCAGACTCCTATGTAGTTCAATAAACATGTATTGACTTTTTACTATATGCAAAGTACTGTGCTAAGTGGTTAAAGCTCAAAGATGGATGAGTCACTGTTATTACAGAGTGTGTTCTTCTGTAAGCCCAGATAGTTCTTCTCTAAATAGGGTCTCTAAATTCAGTGATTATACTCCCCAGTTTTCTCTGAACAGTCCCCATTTACTTGTGTTCTACCAATATTTATAAGTCCACATTTTACTCTCAAGGAATCTGATTTGATCTATATGTATATGTTTTCCTTTTGCCCTTTGTACTTAGTGACATCAGACACCATCACAAAGAAAATGATGTTGATATTAATAAGAGCCTAAAATGTGGCTCTTAGTAGTTGTTTATTTGTTGTTGTTTTTTTAAGAGACAAGGTATCACTCTGTTGCTCAAGCTGGAGTGCAGAAGCGTGGTCATAGCTCACTGGCCTTGAACTGCTGGGCTCAAGCAATCTTTCTGCTTAAGCCTCCCAAGTAGCTGGGACTAGAGGCGTAAGCCACCATGTCCAGCTAACTTTGCTTTTATTTTTTGTAGAGACAATGTCTCAATATGTTGCCCAGGCAGGTCTCGAACTTCTGGCCCCAAGCAATCCTCCTGCCTTAGCCTCCCAAAGGGCTGGGATTACAGGTGTGAGCCACTGCACCTGGCTCTTAGTAGATATCAACTTACATTCAACAATGGCTTGATGCTGAGAAATAAATTTTAATTTTTTAGTTTTTATTTTGAAATTATTCAGACATATAAAAAAATTACAAAAATAGTTCAAAAAAGTCCTATTTCCACCTGCAACCACACTCCCCAAATGTTAACATTTTATATAACCACAGTAAAATGATAGAAACCAGAAGGTTAATATTGATACAATAATTTCTAATCTGTAGATTATATTTAAATTTTGCGAACTGTTTCACTGATGTCCTTTTCCTGGTCGAGGATCCAAAAAGGATTGCAATGTGTTTACTTATAAATTCTTCAGTCTCCATTAGCCCAGAAAATCTCCTCAAACTTTCTTTTCTTTCAAGATATTGACACTTGAAGAGTACTGACAAGTTATTTTGTAGTGTATTTCTCAATTTCAGATCGTCTGATATTTTTAATGATTTCATTGGATTGTATTTTTAGCAATAATATCATAAAAGAGATATAGTATGCTCACTGCATCATATCAGGATATGTTAATAGAACTCCTTAAATTATACCACTAAGGCAAATTTTTACTTTTCTATTTTCTAGTGATATATGTACACATATTATTTTTTTAAATTTATGTAATAAAACTACAACACTGCTCTTATTTTTGTTAGTTTTATAAATCAAAGATTCATACTTCCCTTCTAGGAGGAGTTGACTTTGAGGACAGCTAGTCCACTTACAAATTAAATATACCTGCATAAACTACAGTGGTGAGCTCTGATGTTAGAAATCTCTTTGCAAGGACTGCTTTATCTAAAAATTTGCCTGAACAAATATCCAGAGAAGTACTTCCTACACTTGCTGTCAATACATACATGACACTGATGAGTTAATGAAGTAAAGCAGTTTTGGAATATTAGTCAAAAATTTATTTAGCATTTAAATCTGTATTAAGGATAAATAAGAATGGAGGCTTTTTTCCTAAAGTCCAATAATATGCCTAATTGATAAACATTGCCCTCTTAAAAAAAAAAAAAAAGGGGGGGTTTTTCTTTCCTTAGGGATTTACTCTTGAAAGTCAACTTTTTGGAATATTCAATTCTTCATGTGTATATATGACTCATTTATTAGACTCATTTACATCCTTAAAAAGATTATGAAAGAAACACTGTCTAGAATATCTGCAACTTTTTATTTGTTGACCCAATAAGAATAATTTAATATACCACTCAACATTAAATTAACTCAATGCTATATCACCAAATAAGTTATATATTCAATTGTTGGGATGGAAGTATTTTTATCTTCTCAAAGACCTGTAACACTTCATTCAAAAAAATGTGATAACTTATAAAATGTTATTTAGGTAACAAGTTTTTAAAGCTTTAAAGGGAAAATGAATAAATATTTTTCATCTAAAGATTCATAGAAAATATTATGACTACTGAAAAATATTTGTGGAGATTTTATTTAAATATGGTTTTAAAAGAAAATATACTTTTTTACTAAAAAATAATCAAAATGATAAAACTCTACTTCATGTATTTTTATAGCAAGCTGCTTTATTATTACTGAGTTTCCATTTATTGTAAATTAAGGGAAAAGCTGGGCACATAGTTAGCAAAGCATGGGCATATGTGCAGTTGTGAGAGAGGAGATTAATCTGTGTGATTATATAGTCTCCCTTTGTACTTTGGTTCTCATACCCCATGTGTGCATAGGATGATGAACTGCAGAAAAAAAAATCTTGTATACACACTGCCTTAAAAAAAACTGTTAAAGCTTCATGTAAAATGCAAATATTACAAATTTTAAAATAAACATTAAAGCAATTTTTATTTTACCAAAACACAAATAGATAATTCTAATGACTTTATTCACCTTAATTTGTACTAAAAGAAGCATTAAAATTGGGGCCATATGTTCATGGCATGGGATAATCAGTTAAGAATAAAGTAGTAGGAGGTTCTGATTTGTCACAACTTAATTATACATTCTTGTGACTACAGAGATCCAGAATTTCCAGTCCTGCTTTTTTTGATATTTTTAAATTAACAACAACAGACCAAATTACTCAAACTTTTAGTTATATTAAATTCAAGCATGATCCTATAGAAACAACATAAGGAACACAGTTTTATACTGACATGGCTACCAGTTGCTAGTAGTAACAGTTATTACATTACACATATTCTTTCTTGTAATATGTTAAACATTCCATCTTTGATTTCTACCTAAATTTGCATACTAAATTAATAGTGAAAACTATATTTATAGTTGTAAATGATTTAAATTCTCTGAAACTCAGTGTCTCATCTTCTAAAGTAGACATAGAAATACTTAGAAATTTATTTGAAAAATTAAATGAAATAATGTAAAAGTACCTCTGACTTTGTGTCATATATAATAGAAGTTTCTTTGCTTTTTTTCTTTTTTTAGTTACAGTGTATCAGTAATATTTCATCTTCATTGTCTTTTTCTGATAATTTCACTGGATCCAAATTCATATTCATTATAACAGTCTGGAATATCTTTGACCTTTATCATTCAGGCTATTTTATTTCTGTTTATTAGAGAGCTCTACAAACTATTACTCACAAATCATTATTTCTGACACCATTCTCTGAGGTGTGAGCATCTGCTAGCTGCTAACAGAGGGTGCAGCTGTTGTTCAGAGACCGTCTGTGTTGTGTTGCCAAGCAACTGCTGCAAACCAAATCCCGGGGCAGGTTGCTTGCCCGGGCGCACCTGCCTGCCGACCCAGCTATTTATTTAATTAAAAATCTGTTCCTGCACTACAGCTTGGCCGGAAAGGCAACAGCAGCAATCGATTACAACTATATTAAATGACCTACCCATACTGTTTCATTGAGTATTCATTGCAAACCAAAGGTGTCTCTGACCACCCTGTCTTATTCTTAATGACTTTGCAAAAAGTGTGTAAGAGCAAACTATAGATGGATTCTATTTGCATGTCAGAGAAACTGAAAGCAATCTGTCAGGAGCATTGTTTCATGTAATAAAATGTGCCAAAAAAAATGTTTCAGCAACAAACAAGCTTCTAACAAGAGACACTGCATTTTTTATGTACAACAGAAAAAAGAGTTTAAAATATGTATTTACTATTAATTGGGAATTTGAAATATCAGCGTTTTATAGTATAAGTTGTTTTATTTTCCTTCTTTTAATTAAGAAAAACAGATTACCACTTCAGGTGCATCAGAGTTCACTCATAATATTACACTGGTTTTCTATTCCCATTCTGTTCTGCCCATTTTAAAAATTGACAGAGGCTCTTTTATGTCAACCAGATGATATTAGAAATAAAACTGTCAAGAATTAATACCAGTCTCTGAAATTTCTTTTAAAAGCCAGGGGGAGACTATACAATGCTTATATACACGTCAACAGTGTTCTGTCCTTTGAAGCTCATTTCAGCTTCTTTTCCCTCTTAGAAACAACCAGATCTAATAACAATTTCAAGGAAAAAAAAATAAAAATTCTCAGATGTGATTACGTGACAGTTTTATTTTTAATATCTTGAGGTAAAGACTTTAAAGTCGGACTCCAATAACAGAAGTATTTCTATTTTTTATGACAACTATTAGATTTAATAAATGTTTGTTATATCACCAAGAACCGCATAAATTATTATTTAAAAGCCTAGAATTACTTTTGTTTGCATGATGTATCAAATTGCCCATACAAAAGTATCTTGTTCGCAGAAATGGTACTAAATAAAATACAAACATGATACTAAGGGGAGCTCACATTTTAAAAATATAATGTTTTTTAACATTATGTATGCATGTCTGTGTGTATGATTTTAAACTGCGAATGTTTTAAAGTTAAAATTGGGATTAAAAAATTCTGCCAGAATATCAGTGTTCTTCCTGCTTTAATGCATTTTTTATTTCACTCACTTACACAACTCACAGGCTTCTGTTTTCAGAAAGAAAACCGGCGTCTCACGCCTATAATCCCAGCACTTTGGGAGGCTGAGGCGGGCGGATCACGAGGTCAGGAAATCGAGACCATCCTGGCTAACATGGTGAAACCCCGTCTCTACTAAAAATACCAAAAAAATTAGCCGGGTGTGGTGGCGGGTGCCTGTAGTCCCAGCTACTCGGGAGGCTGAGGCAGGAGAATGGCGTGAACCCAGGAGGCGGAGCTTGCCGTGAGCGGAGATCGCGCCACTGTACTCCAGGCTGGGTGACAGAGCGAGACTCCGTTTCAAAAAAAGAAAAATAAAACATGCTGCTTGCCCATGCCATATTATATTAATATTTTCATTGTTGAGATAAACATATCTATTGATTATAGACAATGCTTAATCTTAATAGGTATCTCATCATGACAAGGCATTGAAATTTCATAATATCTACTTCAAATGAAAATTTCAAAGGAAGATTTGCTACAAACCTGCATGGTTTAATCTTCATTTATTTCTGCAAATTGTTGTACTAGTCAATGATCTATTTTTGTGGATGCTAACATCAACCAGTTACAGACAGTCCTCTATATTATGCCTAATTATAGTATTTCTTGCTTTTTTCTCTGCATTCCTTTTCCTTATAGTGAAACAACACGTACTGGCCTCTGAGGATTTTTTGTATTTCTGTGGGATCATTGTAATGTCACCTTTGTTATTTCTGATTGTGCTTATTCGGATCTTTTCTCTTTTTCTTTTTTTCCTATTTTTTTTTTAATCCATCTTGTTCATCCTTTCAAAAAACCAACTTTTGGTTTGATGATTCTTTGTATGGATTTTGGGTCTCAATTTCATTCACTTCTGCTCAGATTTCGTTTATGTCTTATCTTTTTCTTTTTGAGACGGAGTCTCGCTCTGTTGCCCAGGCTGAAGTGCAGTGGCACAATCTCAGCTCACTGCAAGCTCTGCCTCCCGGGTTCATGCCATTCTCCTGCCTCAGCCTCCCTAGTAGCTGGGACCACAGGTGCCCACCACCACGACCCACTAATTTTTTGTATTTTTAGTAGAGACAGGGTTTCACTGTGTTAGCCAGGATGGTCTCGATCTCCTAACCTCGTGATCTGCCCATCTGGGCCTCCCAAAGTGCTGGGATTACAGGTGTGAGCCACCGTGCTGGCCTCATTTATGTCTTTTCTATTGCAAATGTTGGGGTTAGTTTGTTCTTGTTTTTCTAGTTCCTTTAGGTGTTATAGTAGATTGTTAATTTGAGAACTTTCTAACTTCTTGAGCTAGGTGTTCAGTGCTATAAAATTCCCTCTTAACAGTACTTTTGTTGCCTTGCAGAGATTTTGGTATGTTGTGTCTGTTTTCTTTTCTCTCTTTTTTTTAACATTTATTTTAGGTTCCAGGGTACATGTGCAGGTTTGTTATATAGGTAAACTTGTGTCATGGAGTTTTGTTGTAAGATGATTTCATCACCTAAGTATTAAGCCTAATACCCATTAGTTATTTTTCCTGATCCCCTCCCTTCTCTCACCTTCCAATAGTCCTTAGTGTCTGTTGTTCCCCTTTATGTGTCCATGTGTTCTCATCATTTAGCTCTCACTTATAAGTGAGAACATGCAATATTTGGTTTTCTGTTCCTGTGTTAGTATGCTAAGGATAATGGTCTCCAGTTCCATCCATGTTTTTGAAAAGGACATGATCTTGTGCTTTTTTATGGCTGCATAGGATTCCATAGTGTCTATGTACTACATTTTCTTTATCCATTCTACCATTGATGGGCATTTAAGTTTATTCCATGTCTTTGCTATTGTGAATAGTGCTGCAATGAACATACATGTGCATGTGTCTTTATGATGGAACAATGTATATTCCTTTGAGCATATAGCCAGTAATGGGATTGCTGGGTTGAATGGTAGTTCTGTTTTTAGATTTTTGGGGAATCTCCACACTGTTTTCCACAATAATTGAGCTAATTTACACTCCAGCCAACAGTGTATAAGCATTCCTTTTTCTCTGCAACACCTGTTTTTTGTTGTTGTTGTTGTTTGTGTTTTCATTTATTTTAAAATTTTTTATTTCTGCTTTTATTTTCTTGTTTACCCAAAAGTCATTCAGGAGCAAATTGTTTAATTTCCATGTAATTGTGGATTTTGAGAGATCTTTTTGGTATTAATTTCTACTTTTTTTTCCACTGTGGTCTGAGACTATGGTTGGTAAGATTTCAATTTTTTTTTTTAGCTTATTTAGACTTGCTTTATGGCCAAGCCTTAGTTGATCTCAGCGTATGTTCCAATGGCAGATGAGAAGAAATTACAATCTGTGGTTGACAGGTGGAATATTGTATAGATGTCTACTAGGTCCAATTGGTCAAGTGTCAAATTTAAGTCCACAATTTTTGTTAGTTTTCTGCCTAGATGATCTGTCTAACACTATTAGTGGGGTGTTGAACTCTCCCCATATTATTGTGCGGCTAAGTCTTTTTATAGGTCTAGAAGAACTTGTTTTATGAATCTGGGTGCTCCAATGTTGAATGCATAATATTTATGATAGTTAAGTCTTCTTGTTGAATTGGATCCTTTATTATTGTATAATATCCTTCTTTGGCCTTTTTCATTGTTGTTGGTTTAAAGTCTATTTTATCTGATTTAAGAATAATGACCCCTGCTCATTTTTTATTTCCATTTTTGTGACAGATCTTTCTCCAACCCTTTATTTTGAGTCTATAGATGTTGTTACTTGTGAAATGGGTCTCTTGAAGACAGCAGAAGGATGAGTCTTGTTGTTTTATCCAACTTGCTACTCTGTGTCTTTTGTTTTTTGGTTTTCTTTTTTGTTTTTTTTTGAAACAGGGTGTCAAATGTTACCCAGGCTTCAGTGCAGTGGTACAATCATAGCTCACTGTAGTCTCAATCTCATGGGCAAAAGCAATCCTTCTGCCTCAGTCTTCCAGGTAGCTGTGATAACAGGTATGTGCTCCCATGCCTGGCTCTTTTTTAAACTTTTGGTAGAGATGATAAGGATTCATTATTTTGCTCAGGCTGGTCTTGAACTCCTGAGCTCAAGTGATCCTCCCACCTCGGCCTCCCAAAGTGTTGGGTTTGCAGGCATGAGCCACCGCAGCTAACCTCTGTGTCTTTTGGAGCGGGGGTGGGGGCATTTATACCATTTATGTTCAAGATGAATATTGATATGTGAGGTTTTGAT
The DNA here is from genome assembly GCF_000001405.40 of Homo sapiens. Classification (NCBI taxonomy): domain Eukaryota; kingdom Metazoa; phylum Chordata; class Mammalia; order Primates; family Hominidae; genus Homo; species Homo sapiens. Next base: position 82,555,180 of record NC_000007.14, on the reverse strand, counting down.
TGTATTGTCAAGTTACTAGAGGGTTGCTTTATGGAATCTGTGGGATATGTACTTATATGTGTTTTTGTGATAGCAGGTATCATTCTGTTATTTCCATGTTTACAGCTCCCTTAAGGATCTCTTATAAGGCTGGTCTAGTGGTAACAAATTCCCTTAGCACTTGCTTGTCTGGAAAAGTTTGTATTTCTCCTTCACTCACGAAGCTTAAATTGGCAGAATGTAAAATTTGTGGTTGGACTTTCCTTTCTTTAATAATGCTGAAAACAGGTGCAACCTCTCCTGGCTTGTAAGGTTTCTACTGAGAAATCTACTGTTACCCTGATAGAGTTCTCTTTGTACATGATCTAACCTTTTTCCTGTAGCTGCCTTTAAGATTTTTTTTTTGTTATCATTGATCTTGGACAGTCCGGTGACTGTATGTCATGGTGATATTCATTTTGTATAGTATCTTGCAGGTGTTCTCTGATTTCTTGTATCTGGATGTCTACTCCTGCAACAAAATTAGGGAAATTTTCTTGAATGATTCTCTCAAATATGTTTTCCAGGTTGTTTACTTCTCTGCACAAAAACTAGAAAATCTAGAGGGAATGGAAAACTCCTGGAAACACATGACCTACAAAGATTAAAACAGGAAGAAATTGCAACCCAAAAGAGACAAATATCCAGTTCCAAACTTGAATCAGAAAAAAACAACCAACCAAAAAAAGGCACTGGGCCAAATGGATTCACAGCCAAATTCTACTGGGCATACAAAGAAAAGCTAGTACCAATTATAATGAAGCTATTCCAAAAATTCTAGGAAGAAGGACTTCTCCCTAATTCATCCTATGAGTCCAGTATCACCCTGATACTAAAACCTGGTAATGACACAAGGGAAAAAGAAAACAACATGCCAATATCTTTGATTAAAATAAACACAAAAATCCCCAACAAAATACTAGCAAACCAAATTCAGCAGCACATTAAAGAGTTGATTCATCATGAACAAATAGGCTTTATTCTTAGGACATAAGTTTCCTTCAACATATGCAAATCAATAAATGTGATTCACCACATAAACAGAGTTAAAAACAAAAACTATATGATCATCTCAATAGATATGGAAAAGTTTTTGAAAAAATATCATGTATCCTTTCATGATAGAAACCCTGAAGAAACTAGGCATCAAAGGAACATACCTCAACAAAATAAGAGCTATCTGTGAAAAGCCCACAGCCAACATTATACTGAACAGGCAAAAGCTGAAAATATTCCATTTAAGAATAGGAACAAGGCCAGGTGCGGTGGCTCATGCCTGTAATCCCAGCACTTTGGGAGGCCGAAGCAGGTGGATCACAAGGTCAGGAGATCGAGACCATACTGGCTAACATGGTGAAACCCCCTCTCTACTAAAAAAAAAAAAAAAAAAAAAAAAATTAGCCGAGTGTGGCAGCATGTGCCTGTAGTCCCAGCTACTCGGGAGGCTGAGGCAGGAGGATGGCATGATCCCAGGAGGCAGAGCTTACAGTGAGCCGAGATCACGCCACTGCACTCCAGCCTGGGTGACAGAGTGAGACTCTGTCTCAAAAAAAAAAAAAGAAAATTGGAACAAGACAAGAATTCCCATTCTCACCATTCCTATTTATTCAACATAGTACTAAAAGTCTTAGCCAGAGAAATCAGGCAATAGAAAGAAATAAAAGGCATCTAAATAGGAAAAGAAGAAGTCAAATCTCTCTTCGTGGACAATATGATTCTATACCTAGAAAACCCTAAAGATGCCACCAAACGGCTTGTAGAACTGATAGACAACTTCAGTAAAGTTTCAGGAGACAAAATCAATGTACAAAACTCAGTAGCATTTCTGTACACCAATAACGTTCAACATGAGCGCTACATCAAGAACACAATCTCATTTACAATAGCCACAATAAAATAATAAAATAAAATAAAATAATATACCTAGGAAGACGTCTAACTAAGGAGGTGAAAGATCTCTACAAGAACTATAAAACACTACTGAAAGAAATCATAGATGACACACACAAAAATGGAAAAACATCCCATGCTATGGACTGGAAGAATGAATATTGTTAAAATGGCCATAATGCCCAAAGGAATCTCCAGATTCAGCACTATTCCTATCAAACTATCAATGTCATTTCTCACAGAATTAGAAAGAGACTATTCTAAAGTTCCTATGGAACCAAAGAAGAGCCTAAATAGTCAAAGCAATCCTAAGAAAAAAGAATAACACTAGAGGCATCACTTTGCTTGACTTCAAATTATACTATAAGGCTATGGTAACTAAAACAGCATGGTACAGGTACAAAAACAGACATATAGAGTAATAAAACAGAATAGAGAACCCAGAAATAAAGCCACACACCTACAGTCATCTGATCTTTGACGAAGTGAACAAAAAAATCAATGGAGAAAGGATTCCCTATTCAATAAATGGGATCACTGGCTAGCCATATCAGAAAGAAAGCAACTGGACTCCAACCTTTCGCCATAAGCAAAAATTAACTCAAGAGGAATTAAAGATTTAAATGTAAGACCTCAAAGTATGAGAATCCTAAAAGAACACCTAGGAAACACCACACTGGACATCAGCTTTGGCAAATAATTTTTGACTAGAAATTGACAAGTGAGGCCCAATTAAACTAAAGAGCTTCTGCAAAGCAAAAGAAACTATTAACAGAATACACAAACAAACTACAGAATGGAAGAAAATATTTGCAAACTATGCATCTGACAAAGGTTTAATATACAGAATCTACAAAGAATTTAAGCAACTCAACAAGTAAAAACCAAATAACCCCATTTAAAAATGGGCAAAAGACATGAACAGATACTTCTCTAAAGAAGACATATAAGCAGCCAACAAACATGTGAAAAAATACTCAACATCACTAATTATCAGATAAATGAAAATCAAAGCTACAATGAAATACTATCTCACATCAGTCAGACTGGCTATTATTAAAAAGTCAAACAACAGCAGATGTTGGTGAGGCTGCAGAGAAAAGCGAATGCTTATACTATGTTGATGGGAACATAAATGGGTGAAGCCCCTTTGGAGATTTCTTGAAGAGCTTACATTAGAACTACCATTCAATCCAGCAATCCCTTACTGGTAACATACCCAAAGGAAAATAAATTGTTCTACCAAAAAGACACATGGACTCATATATTCATTGTAGCACTATTCACAATAGTAAAGGCATGGAATCAACTTAGGTGTGCAGCAACTGTGATTGGACAAAGAAAATGAGGTACATATACACCATGGAATACTATGCAGTCATAAGAAAATAAAATCACGTCCTTTGCAGCAACATCAGTGCAGCTGGAGGCCATTATCCTAAGCAAATTACTGTAGGAACAGAAAGCCAAATACTACATGTTCTCACTTGTAAGTGGGAGCTCAATATTGGGTACACATGAACATAAAGATGGCAACAGTAGACACTGGAGACTACTAGAAGGAGGAAGAAGTGAGGGGGCCAAGGGTTGCAAAACTACCTATTGGGTACTATGATCAGTATCTAGGTGACAGGATCAATTGTTCCCCAAACCTCAGCATCATACAGTATACCCATGTAACAAACTGGCAAATGTACCCGTGAATCTAAAATACAAGTTGGAATTATTTAAAAACAAACACACACATACCATGAATCTTCTATTGAATGTAATTTGGGGCCCAGAAGTAATTTTAAATCTATAGCAGTTACATTTTCCTTTAATCCAGATTGGTGATTCTTAATAGTACAAAGAAATAATATTTGATCAGAATTTTTTTCCTTTTTAACATGAACAGACCAGTGATAGAACTGTAATATTTATGTAAAATTTGTGTTCTCATGTCAAGTTTCCAAGCTTTAATTTTTTTTTCTGCTTCAGTATGCCCATTTCAGAACCAACTTATTGTTCAAAGCCCAACTAAATATTATCTCGTTTGTCAAATCATAACTTCTCTTGTATGTTGTGATTGTCCCCCTCCATCTAGTATTTAATGTTCATATATCTTGATTCCTTGAAAGTATTGATTAATTATTGATTAAAAATTATACCACAGAGTCATACATTCAGCCAGGATAACTATAAGCCAGGATTGTGTTGAAAATAAAATGGTAGATGGTAGATTTCTTCATAACATCAAATATTTTAAAACTATAACAGGCATTATTTGTTAATTTGGGATAGGGAGAGAAAAAATATAATAGTAGAAATTACAAAAAATAAGGAGGTTACATTTTGTGTCTGGAAGTATTACTGTGCTACTACCTATATTTCTAAAATCTATATGTCTTCTGGACAAATTATCCTGGGTGATTTAGAAGTCCTTAAAACTTAAAAAGAACAAATCTGAATGTGAAATCTGTCTCCAAACCTGCTCCTCTATGGTCAGCCTCAAGTTTAGCACCCTACACCTAGATACTTATTCCAGAATATCTGGAAATTATTTTTATCACTTTTATTTTATCCTACAGATTGTATTTATGTATATTAAAAAGTTACTGCCCCTCATTAACACCTGCTGTTCATCTTTATTATCAAATAATTATAATTGCCTCCTAGCAGTCTCCCTGTTTACAGTCTTGACCATCTCCACTGACTGTACTGTTGCTAGACAGATGTCTCTAAAACACACACCTGGTCAAGTTACTTGCCTGCCTGCACTTCCAATGGCTTTTTGGGTTTTTTTTTGTTTGTTTGTTTGTTTTTAGCACAGTTTCACTCTTATTGCCCAGACTGGAGTGCCATGGCAGGATCTCAGCTCACCGCAACCTCCGCCTCCTGGGTTCAAGTGATTCTCCTGCCTCAGCATCCTGATTAGCTGGGATTACAGACATGCACCACCATGCCCAGCTAGTTTTGTATTTGTAGTAGAGACTGGGTTTCTCCATGTTGGTCAGGCTGGTCTCAATCTCCCGACCTCAGATGATCCGCCCACCTCGACCTCCCAAAGTGCTGTGATTACAGGCATGAGCCACCATGCCCGGGCTTCCAATGGCTTCTTATTCCCTACATATGAAGTGGAAAGGGCTTATCATGTAAAGGATTAATATTTTATAAGAATGTGGAAATTTACTTTCTTATCTCCTACTTCCACCTCCCACATTCTGGAGCCTGACATGCACAAACACTAATATAAAAGGCAGCCTTGAGTAAAACCTTGGCTAGCTATGGGCAACCTTTTCACATAATTTACAAAACATATATTAACAGGAGATTAATCTTCCCAGTGTGAATAGTATGATTTTATTTTTTTATATGTCATCTAGAGCCTTAACAACCATAGGGGTTTCTGTTCCTTCAGACCTCATCCTGAGGAACCGAAACCCCATGGGCACCACTCCCTTGTCATTCTTCCCAGGGAACTGAATCAAGTAGTGATTTATTGCCAACCCAGGCTGAAGGCAGAGTATTAGATTTACAGGGTGAGGAAGAGGCAAGAAAGAAAGCAGTTGGAGTATGGAACTCTCTGCCTTTTCCAGATTCTCTTTCCAGCAGGGATCAGTTTGATATCGTAGCAAAAGCTGCTCTCAAATCTCCAACATTTTGGATTCAATAAGGTTGGAATTACATTTTTTGCACCTAAAGTTAAAAAGGAAAATAATTTTTTTAAAATCCCTGATTTTTGCATTCTTCAGTATTTTTATTATGTGCTTATTGAGTTAACAATAAGATGTTTTCCTTATAAAGTGTGCCAGCTATTTCTTACACAGTAGGGTTGTAGTGTCAGAGAGATACAGATATATAATGATGGAGTGTGCTTGTAAGTATATATCATAATCTCTTTTCTACAGCTAAACTCTGTGATAGACTGCAGGGTCAAAGACTTACAACACCTGATCGCCACTCTCAAGGAATTCACAGCCTGAGAGATGTTATTTTAGAAAACAAACAATTACAATGCCCTGTGATAATTTTTATGGTGGAGACCAGAGGGACACAAAAGGCTGATGTTTGATCTGAGACTTCAGTGAAAGGATGTACAGGAGTTTTTCTGATGGATGAAAATGTTAAGGCCATTTCTACCAATGGAAGTTGAGTTCAAGAAGAATGGAGGTGTTAAATAATGTGGTTTATGAGAAGCGAGTAGGAGGCATTATCTATGGCACTGAGTGTGAGAATATAGAGTTGAGATCATGTAGAGATTGGACTCCTTGCTTCTGCTACCTATGGTGACTCTGAAAACTTCACTTTTTCTTTCTAAGCTTCTGTTTTCTCTGCAGCAAAATAAAGATTAAATAATAATATCTCTTCCATGGAGTTGTGTGAATTTTCTTATGTATGTAAAGTTCTTAGCACAGTATCTAGCAGTGTTTATCAAAGTGCCATTTACTAAATAATAATAGTAGTTCAGTATGATTGAATGACAGGAAATATAGAAATAAGTGATGGAATATGTCTGAATTTTTACATGGCTAGATCAAAAGTGGCCCTATGCTGTGCCTAAAAGTAACCACTGGGTTCTTAAATCATACTAAAATATTTTTGTACTTTTGTCTTACAATGGAATATCATTGATTTTGAGAATTTCCCCGGTATCTAAAAGAAACAAATACCTGAAAGAAAATAAGCCTCAAAGAAAAACCTGAAAAAAGACATCTTTTATACAACGTAGTAAAGCATATTTATACAAATGACTCAGAGAAATGTATTTGTAAGGAAAGTCTGTACTATAAAGAGACCTTAGGGTAAGTAAACAAGAAAACGATAATATAACAATTCCCCTTTCACCATGTGTTATTCTGTGCCTAACATAAAAATCAATAAGAAAGGAACACATGCAACTTTATAGCCTTCATGTGATATGCTATTGATGTTGATTTTAAAATTCAGAGCAACACATGAATGGAGAGTGTCACTTACTTATATGTCATTACTACTATCCATCAGGACACAAAGTACACTAGTCTCTGTCATTTCAATATGTGACCCTCTATTTCATGTGACATACAATTCACTTTCAAATTTCAAACACTGGACCTTTTGTTACATTTACATGAGGATTTTTCTGTCCTTCCACTTCCTGTTGCTTTTATTTGTATTTAATCTATTCCCCCTGGCCCCCACCTCAAGATGCATGAATATTATTAACAAACTTAAATAAGTTTAGCAGATTACATCTTTTTCTTCAGAAATATATATGAGAATTGCCACTTGTTTGGAGATTCTTGAAGTGTACTACTATAGGAAATGAATGATTTTTATTTCCAGTTTGGCCATTAAATGACATTAAGGAACCATTTAGGCCATATTGGTTTCAGTTTCCACTTCAAGAAAATAGATCAGTTAAATAATCCATCCCAGAGCTAAGGGTTTTTGCATGGCATGATTTTATTCATAAGGAGGCAAATATGTTCTGGTAAAGCACAGGGTGTAACAACACCATTGAAAAACCAACAGAAGTATCAATATTCTTTGAAAGAGATATATCAGTTATATCCCTTTTATATCAGAATTATTTCATGAATTCTAAGTAAACTTAGAACTTCTGTACAATTCCTAAGCAATTTTAGAATTAATGGAATACACAGCATCATGATATTATTTTGGTTACTCTGAATGACACTAAAAGGCAAGCTCTTGCTTAGCCAGAAGTTTGTAAATCCTAATATTTCAAGACAATCGAAGAGCTCGAATGATTCAGAACAACTCTGGAATGAACGTTTAAGGTTTTTCAGCCTCTCATTGTAAGTTTCCCGTCTTTAGTAACCATATCCTAATTTTTCTCTGGGAAACACCCTGTTCTCTACACTCAGTCCAAATGTTTCTCAAAGAAGTGATCTCTAATATTCTGTCAAAACACCACCATATTCCACTGGTCCTTGGGATTAATTCAGGTTGGTATCCGACTACACAATCAAATCAGAGTAAATTCAGGGCCTTTATTAAAACAATGGGAAAAAATGCCACTTCTTGTCCATAGGACAGGGGCATTGAATAACAAGGAGCAGAAGCTACCAAAGACACCCACCCTGTGTCTGAGAATGGCGCTCACTCAGAGGAAACACAACCCAAGACAGATCGCAAATGTGAGCTCTTCAACCCCACGTGAAGCTTTACCTATGAACATTTCAGTCGTGTAAGCCAATTTTTCTTTTTTCCGTAAGTCATTTTGAATTGGGGTTTCTGTCACTTTCTTTTTTTTTTTTTTTTTTTTTTTTTTTGTGAGACGGAGTCTCACTCTGTCGCCCAGGCTGGAGAGCAGCAGTGCGATCTCGGCTCACTGCAAGCTCCGCCTCCCGGGTTCAGGCCATTCTCCTGCCTCAGCCTGTCCAGTAGCTGGGACTACAGGCGCCCGCCACCACGCCCGGCTAATTTTTTGTATTTTTAGTAGAGACGGGGTTTCACCGTGTTAGCCGGGATGGTCTAGATCTCCTGACCTCGTGATCCGCCCGCCTCAGCCTCCCAAAGTGCTGGGATTACAGGCGTGAGCCGCCACGCCCGGCCTCTGTCACTTTCAAGCAAAAAATACGTAATTATCACAAACTCAGAACATATGTCAACTACTTAGTGTTCAGTTTTAGGTGGAAGAGCTACCATTATGGTATATTTGGTAACTTCGGCCAATATAAGGTTTGCTAAAAGTATACTACTGATATTTGCATTCATTCTGATGAGTAGTTTAATAAGCTTTCTTACATATTCTGATAGAATAAAGTACCATCAAAGGAAATAACTTAGGAATTTCTTTTACCTCTTTACAAAGTGAGTATGTAATAAAAGAGTCCAGAATCACTAACTGATCTGTCAAAAAATTCCTCAGTTCTATAAGAAAATTGAAAAACAAATACATGGTAAATGTAATTTATTTATTTCTTTATTTATACATTTTATCCATTTTACATTTTTAAATATCCACAGAGTTTTATGTTGCAGTCAATTCAATACAAGATGCCATTATTTACACCAGCACTGTCCAGTACAGTAGCACATATGGCTATTGAAATTTAAATGGATTTCCATCAATTTAAATAAAATCAATTAAAAAAATTAAAAATTTACTTCTTCAGTTTCACTAGCCACATTTCAAAGGCTCAATGGCCACATATGGCTAGTATTTACCATATGTACAGTACATATCAAAGAAATGTTCATTGTGTGCCACTAGCCTAAACAACAGAGTTCAATGAAAAGCTAAACAAAATGATTCTTTTTTCCCAAGAAAAGTATATGGAGTAGGCTATTCACTAATGGATTTGCAATTATAATAGAGGATGATAAAATTATAAGAAGTAGACAGCATGAGAACATAATCTGAATTGTCAAAAATGGCTTTCCTAAGGAAAGGGTATGGTATCCAATTTGAAAAATACAAAAGGACTATCTAGAAGAAGAATCTATTTTAAAAATATGTTAGATGTATTATTATATTTTAAGGAAGTCAAGAGTAAAATGGAGAGAAAAAATGTCAAGAAAAATGTATGGGTTGATTGCTTTTCCATTTTTTAACTTTTGTAATGGAATATTTGAAAGATAATAAAAATATGACAAATGGACAACATAAAATATAAGAAGAAAACAAAACACTCATGTAAAAACACAGACAAAATGTAATTTGAATATTATCAAGAATCACCAAATTTCAAGCTCCAGCTTTCCCACAAAAGATACCACTTTTAAAATTTTTTTAAGATTCCTTTGTTTTGCATTATAGATTTACTAAGAATTTATTTCTTTAAAAATTTTTTTGATTTATAGTTTATCTTCTGTGATTTTGTATTCAAAATGTTCTAAAATTCATTTATATTGAGATATACAGTTATAGTTTATTCATTGTCACTGTTTTAGACTCTCATTATAAATATACCCAACTTTATTTATTTTTTTTCAGTAAACGTTTGTATTCTTTTCAGGTTTTTGTTGTTACAAACAATGCTTCTGTGAACATTTTTATACCTGTGCCTGAGTTCCTCTATGGTGCATACTTACGAGTGAAGTTCATAGGCTATAAACATGTTCAATTAATAAGATAGTACCAAATTATTTTGCAAAGTTGTTTCACCAGTTTACTCTTCCATCAGCAGTGTATGAGGTGTCCCGTTGTTTTGAATTTTTGCCAGTCTAGCATGGTATAAACAATACGTCATTGTCTAATTACTGAGGTTGTCCATTAATCAACCTGTTTTTGGTAGTTCTTGTTTTCTCTTCTAGAAAATGTCTATCCACTTCTTTTGCCCATTTTCTATTGGGTTATATTTTTCTTTATAGATTTGTAGGCATTTTATTCATACTGAATATTAACTTTTATCAGTTTGTGCATAGAAAATGTATTCTATAGTTTGGCTTATAATTTCATTCTTTTTACGTTGTTGTATACTATATGTCAACTTTATTGCATAGTTTACACACAATAACTGGCATCCGTTTTTTAAGTGTTTTTGATTCTCTACACACTCCTGTTGTATCACAATCAAGATATGGGATATTACATCACCCCCAAAATTTTCCTTGCACAGTTTTGAAGTCAATCCTTTACACCTGGCCCCAGCTAACTAATGTGATGTTTTCTGTTCTATAGGTTGGTTTTGTCTTTTCCAGAATTTCATATAATGGAATCATATGGTATATAATCTTCTGTGTCTGACTTTTTTTCAATTATCATAATGGTATTCAGATGCGTTTATGTTGTTGTGTGCAACAGTAGTTTATGTCTTTTTGTCACCAAGTAGTATTTTATTGCTTGGATGTACTACAGTTTATCCATTCACGTACTGAGGGATGTTTGCATTCTTTCCAGTTTGTGGCTTTTATGAATAAGGTGATATAAATAGTTCTGTAAAAGTATTTGTGTGAACATACGTTTTTGTTTCTCTTGAATAAATATATGCTAGTATAATTGCTCAATTGTATGTTAAATTTATGCTTCATGTATACAAAAAATCCTGAATTGTTTTTCAAATTGGTCACCATTTTGCATTCCCAGCAACAGTGTTTGAAAGATGCATTCCAACCAACAATGTATGAGATTTCCAGTCTCTATATATTCTTGCCATCTCTTAGTATTTTCAGTCATTTTAATGTTAACTGTTTTTGTGGGTGTGCACTGGTATGTCTTCATTGTTTTAATTTGTTTTCTCTGATTATTGATATTAAATATCTTTTCATGTGCCTATTTAGTGATTTTTGTGTCTTCTCTTTTGAAATGTCTTTATATCCCTTGTCTAATGATTTTTTGATTGTTTGCCTTCTTAATAATGAACTGTAAGAGTTCTTTGTATATTCTATATCTTCTAATTACCAATCTTTCACCAGATACATATACTATAAATATTTCCTTCCAATCTGTGCCTCACATTTTACCATGCTTTTTTCTTTTTCTTTCAGAGACAACTTCCCATTATGTTGTCCAGGCTGGAAAGCACTAGCTGTTCACAGGCGTGATCATCGTGCAGTACAGCCTTGAACTCCTGGACTCAAGTGATCCTCCTGCCTCAGCCTCAGAGAAATCACAAGGTATTTTTATTGAAAAGTTTTACTCAATATGAATTTTTAATTAATTAATTACTTTCTTTGGCTACAAAATGTTTTACTTACAAATGAGCAATAAGAATCAGGCTGCTCTAATGTATATAATAGAATTATGAGAATGTAGCTAATTATTTTAATATAAAAGTGGCTTGTCCAACAGGAGCTATCTAGCCCTGGTATTCATTTTTCTAATTCATTCTTAATTCATTCCGTGGTGCTCAAGTATTTAGAAAACAATATTGCCTTATCAACTGCGTAAACATTTCTTAGATATAGTGGTCAAAAATTCCATTTCTATACTCTATTCACTGTCTTAATTAACTGGCTTTTAAGGACAGAAAATCTAAGATCTTGTCTGCCCAGAGTAAAATAAAAGAATATAGTTCTTTTAAATACAGTGACTCTCCTCCTAAGCAGTTGACTATCTGATTAAAACCCTCTGTATGAAGAAAGTGGACATTAGGAATTAGTCTGAGTATTTATAGCAAAAGTTGAAATTATAAAAGATAGAGGCAGAACAAGTCTTGGATCTATGACCATACTACATTCAAAAGTATTCATTTAGAGATCCTCATACGGTAATTATGGCACTCCAATAGAAGTGGCAAATGGTAAAATCATGCATTTTGGGGTAGCTCCCTATATAGCTGAGAGTGCTGGGTTTTGTTTGTTTTATTGGTTTTGGGTATGCCAAGATTATCTTATCTTCTAACAAAACAGAGAAACTTTACAAGAAAAGAAGAGTCATAAGTCTGTCAAATACTTCCAGCCGATAAACCGAGATAAGAACTGAAAAGTGCTCATTTGATTTACTGATGTGGAAATTGCTGATTTCCTTGGCAACTGTCATTTCAATGGAATTGTTGGTGGGAAGAAGCCAGATTGCAATGGGTTGAGAAGTGAGTGGGAGGTAAGAAAGAATTCATGATGAGTGTAGAAAATTTCTTCAAAGTGTTTTGCCATGAATCAGAATGAAAGAGATAGCTGGAGAAGGTTGAAGGACTAAAAGGGAGTTCTTTGATCATTTTTTAAATGAGAGCATGTTAAAATGCTAATGAGGTAAAAGCAGAAAGAAAAATAGGTTGACCTAGAAGAGAGAAATCAATGAAGTAATTCCCCTGAGAAGGGAGAAATGAGTCTTATATAGGAAAAACTATTATTTCAATTTTAACAAAAGCACAGGTGTTTATGGGGGCAGATTTATTAACTCACTGGTAGGATGTTGAGGAATTTTTGTCAATCGGTTTTCATTTTGAAGTAGCACAGAAGTTATCTGTTGAACATGAAAAAATAAATGAGGTAGAGTGTTACTGTTAGAGCCTCAAAAATAAATTTTTAAAGTGGAAAACTGGGGGTAAAATGAAGATTTTTTTATAGAGCTTTTGGGCAATGTTACTGACAAGCCAATATTGGCATTTCAGCCCAAAAGAAAGTCAAATATTAATCTAATTAAGTCACTAGATCTAACTCTCAGCTCTCAGGAGACATGGGGGATAGAAAGACATGTTAAATGACACGAAGAAGATGTAATAATCAGCCAAATTCCATGGGAGACATGATTCAGTTGCTTCAACAAATAAGTGGCATTTTAAAAGGGTAATGGAACTGTGTACTTTTCTTGTTTATATAAATGTGAGGGGTATGAGTGTAATTTTTTTTTTTTTTTGAGACAAAGTCTTGCTATGTCACCCAGGCTGGAGTGCAGTGGCACGATCTCGGCTCACTGCAACCTCTGCCTCCTGGGTTCAAGTGATTCTTCTGCCTCAGCCTCCTGAGTAGCTGAGCTGGGATTACGGGCGTGCACCACCACGCCCAGCTAATTTTTGTATTTTTAGTAGAGACGGGGTTTCACCATGTTGGTCAGGCTGGTCTCAAACTCCTGACCTCATGATCTGCCCACCTCGGCCTCCCAAAGTGCTGGGATAGCAGGCGTGAGCCACCGCGCCCAGCCAAGCGTAATTTTTTTACATGCATAGATTGTGTAGTGGTGAAGACAGGTCTCTTAGGGTCTCCATCACCCAAATAACGTACATCAGAACACTATATTTTTAAGACAATTAAGAAATATTGAATTAATTGCATATTAGCTTATTCAGGATTACTGTTATTTTGGTGTAGTAATAATATTGTAGTTATTTTTAAATGGCTTTACTGGGGGGATACATATGAAGTATTTATGAACAAACAGATATGATGTCTGACGTCTGTTTTGAAACATCTCTGAAGAAAAAGTGAGTCAGAATTAAGAGAAGTAAAAACAGCAAAATGCAAATAATAAATGATGTGGAGTTAGGCATAGTGGCTCATGCCTGTAATTCTAGCACTTTGAAAGGCCCAGACAGACAGATAACTTGAGCCCAGGAGTTGGATACCAGCCTGGGCAACATGGCAAAACCCCATCTCTACAAAAAATATAAAAAAATATAAAAATTAGCTGGGCATGGTGATGTGTGCACCTGCAGTTCCAGCTACTCAGGAGGCCGACATGGGAGGATCATGTGAGCCCTGGAGGAGGAGGTTGCAGTGAGCAGTGATGATGCCGCTGCACTCCAGCCTGGGCGATGGAGCGAGACCCTGTCTCAAAATTAATTAATTAATTAAGTAAGTAATTAAATTACGTTAAATAATTTTTTAAAAATGATGTGGAGACAGTAACCATAGGAGGATGTTTTGTTATGAAGAGGAGTAAAGGTGAGGCAGTTGGAGAGGATGAGCCTCAGAGGGGTTTACTTGTTTTAAGTGATACTAAAACATGTTTGTATGCTGAGAGAAATAGCACAATGGATAGGAAGAAACTGATGATGGCAGGAAGAAAGTAATTATAGAAACAAAGTTGCTGAGGTGGTAAGAGGGGATGGGTTCCAGAACTAAAGCAGGGCAGTTAAAGTCAGCCTTTGATAAAAGCAGGGTGACAATCCATAATACTGGAGAAGGCAGGGTACTTATGTACAGATGTAGATAGGTTCTTACTTAGGAAGGGAGGAATTCAGAGTTCCTAAATGAGTGTTTCCCATTGGAAAAATCAAATATAATGCAAGATAATAAATAAGATTAAGGAAACAGTAAGGACCTGAAAGAAGTTTGAAAAGAAAAGAGAAATAGGAAATAGTGCTTGGAATATAGAAAATGCTTTGCAGTGGGATCACCTAACAGGCTCTTTAAAGCATCTGTTGATATACAAGTGAAGCTGTCATGTGGTCATAGGACAAAGATTACATGTTTTTTAGATTATTTTTCCTATGAAATCATTTTAATTCATTCTGACTTTTAATAGAATATGAGTATTGGACAATTCTCAGTAATAGACTAATAAAACTACTTGCAGGTAATGAAATGAAGACACGGTGTGCTTTTGCCTCTCAATTCAGTCTTCAAAACTGCATCAGCTGTTCAAACAGTGCAATTCCACCTGGGTTTATATAGAGAACACTACTTGAGATTTAATGTCTTTCTTTACTTCCTTTGAAGATGTATGCTTTTATAATCACGCCAAAGAAGGAGAGGAATGCGATTAAAGGGAATACATGGATGGCACAATGAACTTCGTTAGCAGATCTGAAACTAGGCTGTGTTCGCTGAGTGCCACATAGCACATATCATGTGAAATAATAATAGACTAACACACCAACCTGGTAGAAGTGGGAGTTTGAAGGCCAATTAGACAGAACCATTTTTTTCTAATGTGTCAAAATAATGAAAGTGGCTTTGCTAAATAAATTCATGCAGACGTACTGCTGTGCAAATTGAATGGTTAATACTCTACAGTATTGCTTCTGCTTAGTTTAAAACACAGTAGACTAATGATTAAATATCCACGACAATATATTTCTATGTGGATGTTACAAATTCCTTTTTAATTACCTGCTTTCTTTTGTGTCATATATACCCCCAGATTATGCTTTTGTTCATTCTGCAATTTCACATCAAACCTCAGGCTGTAAATTTGAAATGAGGTAAGCTTTAAAATTATAACTTAACATACCTTTCCTGTGTGGAAATGGTTACTGATAAATTCAGCATTCCTGAAATACGCATGTTTGGACCAAAATAATGTAGAATCTTATATTTCTTTGTTTGTACTTGTAGTGCTTGCTCCATAATGACTCTGAAATAAATGGAATTCTAAGAAGAAAAAAGAATGAAAAATACTGTATTCATGTCAAAAAGGATAGTGTTTTATCATGGCTATTTATGGTTTGAAGTCGCTGTAAAAAAAATAAAGGAATTGTTACTTGGGTTTTTCTGTTAATTTTATAGTGATTATAGTGATTTCTATAGTGATATATAGTGATATGTAGTTCTTTAGTGATTATATAGAGAAATACATATGCTGAAATTTTTTACAGTGAGTTCATTAACATATTAACTTTTTTCTCTTTGAGGGTTCAATGAAATTATGAAGGAAAAGAAGAATAAATATTACCTCTTCAGTTACCTCACCAATTATCTGCCTCATCTAGACACATTTAGTTTTCTTTGAGCAGATTTTCTCAATATGAAATATAACTTGATTTTTTTAAATTGTGGCTGAAGTTTTATAAAGTGTTCTATCTTATATATTTTGAATTAAGTATGTGTACATAATTCAATGTTATTTTTATCATCCATTCATTACAAGAAAATAATGTGAAATAAGACTACAAACAAAGCTAGGCAGTCGTCTTTGCTAATCTCCCTGCTATGGTTTGAATGTGTTTCCCCAAAAGCATGTAATAGAAACAATCTTCAATGCAACACTGCTAGGGAGTGGCGCCTAATAAGAGGTGGTGATTAGGTCATGAGGGCTCCACCCTCATGAATTGATCAATGTCATTATCTTGAGAGAGAATACTTGCTATCTCAAGAGTGGATTCTTTTCTTTTTTTTTCTTCTTTTCTTTTGAGACGGAGTTTCGCTCTTGTTGCCCAGGCTGGAGTGCTATGGGGCAATCTCAGCTCACCGCAACCTCCGCCTCCTGGGTTCAAGTGATTCTCCTACCTCAGCCTCCCAAGTAGCTGGGATTACAGGCATGCAGCACTACGCCCGACTAATTTTGTATTTTTAATAGAGATGGGGTTTCTCCATGTTGGTCAGGCTGGTCTCGAACTCCCGACCTCAGGTGATCCACCCGCCTCAGCCTACCAAAGTGCTGAGATTACAGGCGTGAGCCACTGCGCCCGGCCATAAGAGTGGGTTCTTTATAAAAGGACAAGTTTGCCACCCTCTGCTTTCTTTTTTCCTCTCTCTCTCTCTCTCTCTCCCCCTCTCCCTCACCCTCACCCTCTTCCCCTCTGTCTTCTGCCATGGAATGACCCAACAAAAAGGCCCTTGCCAGATGCCAGTGCCTTGATCATGGACTTCTCAGCCTCCAAAATCATGAGCCGATAAATTTCTATTAATTATAAATCAATCAGTCTCATGTATTCTATTATAGCAGCACGAAACAGACTATGACACTCCTGTAGGTGGACAATCTGCAGTGAACCAGCATGTGGATTAATAGTCTCATTTTTAAATTATTATGTAAAACTAGAGTTTTTAAATGACAAATAAATATTATGCAAACTGAAGATAATGGCATTTTATTTAGCATTTTTAACAAAAATACATAATGAACTAGACATTGTAGTTACTAGAATTGTAAAGCCCCTGAAGCCAAGACAAGTTCACTCAGAACATTGCAAGATAGGAATACTGTCAATTGTATACTGACATAAGATATCTCTTATCCAAAATTGAGTATCCCTCATCCAAAATTCTGGGGACTAGAAGTGTTTCAGGTTTCATATTATTTTCAGATTTTGGATTATTTGCATTGTATTTACCGGATGAGCATCCTCAATCTGAAAATCCAAAATTCAAAATGCAAATTTCCTTTGAGCATCCTATCAGTACTCAAAAAGTTTCATATTTTGGTGCATTTTGGATTTCAGATTTTCAGATTTGGGATGCTCAACTTGTACCCTTCTTCCTTTCATAATTTTAAATTGCAAAATCTTTATACTATACACCAAACAGGTATGCATAAAAATCCAAACATTTCAAGATCTCTTATGGCACATTGTTTTTATTTAGAAATTCTCCTATAAGCTGGATCCTTCAATAAGAGCAATCAATTTAGAGCTCTGTTCCTGTGAAAACACATAATCTATAGGGACAAATTTTGTAATTTACCAAAATTTGCATATCAACAAGTTAACTACTTAATTTCTTCATATTTTTTAATTTTAAGTTTTCTTCCCTATAATTTGATTATATAATAGCACTTTAGAAGATGATGGCTATTTTCACAGCCACAGCAAAAACAAACAAAAAAAACACATACAAAAGACAAGTGAATAACAATATGGTGAATGTGGGACAGACCCATAGAAGCAATCCATTCAACTCAGTAATTTAGTCCTTTTAACAATTAACACAAATCTATATATTTAATTAAGTAGTATTGATTAGTATTGAGCAAAAATTCTGAAAAAAATGCACGTTTATTTCTAGTCTCTTTTGGCTGCCATATTAGTCCTTTTCACACCACTATAAAGAATACCTGAGGCCAGGTGTGGTGGCTCACACCTGTATTCCCAGCACTTTGGGAGGTCGAGGCGGGCAGATCAGGAAGTCAAGAGATTGAGACCATTCTAGCCAACATGGTGAAACCCCATCTCTACTAAAAATACAAAAATTAGCTGGGTGTGGTGGCTCATGCCTGTAGTCCCAGCTGCTTGGGAGGCTGAGGCAGGAGAATCACTTGAATCCAGGAGGTGGAGGTTGCAGTGAGCCAAGATTATGCCACTGCACTCCATCCTGGCAATGGAGCGATACTCTGTCTCAAAAAAAAAAACACCTGAGACTGGGTAATTTATAAAGAAAAAAAATGTAATTGACTCACAGTTCTGAGTGGCTGGGGAGGCCTCAGAAAACTTATAATCATGGCTGAAGGCAAAGGGGAAGCAAAGCATGTTTTCTCATGGCAGCAGGAAAGAGTACACATGCAGGGGAAGTGCCAGACACTTACCAAACAACCAGATCTCATGAGAACTCACTCCCCTAAGACTGGGTAATTTATAAAGAAAAGAGGTTTAACTGACTCACAGATCCCCATGGCTGGGGAGGCCTCATGAAACTTACAATCATGGCAGAAGGGAAAGAGGCATGTCTTACATGGTGGCAGGTGAGAGAGAGCAAACAAAAGAAGGGGGAAGAGCCCTTGTAAAACTATCAGATCTTGTGAGAACTCACTGTCATGAGAACAGCATGGGGGAAACCAACCCTATGATCCAATCACCTCCCACCAGATCTCTCCCTCTACATGTGGAGATTACAATTCGAGATGAGATTTCGATGGGGACACAGAGCCAAACCATATCAACTGCCATATATATTTAGTGTTAGCTTAATTACTGTAGGTATATTTCAAGGAAGCTAAAAATAGGGCATTTTTCTGAGTAAAGACATTAGGAATTCTTATTCTTATTGCTATATATGATGAAACCATTTCTCAAATCAACTTAAAATGCATTCTGGCTTTATAGTTAGAATTTACAGTACTTTCCTAAATACTATTCTGAAGATTTTAGTTTCTGAAAAAATTAAAAGCCTAAATATATAATTTTTATATGATATACTCAAAATCAGGATAGTATTAAAGTAAGACTTTTGTGTTTACTAAAGTTTTTTGAAGATAGGAGAAAATTTTATACTAGCAGTTGTAATAGTGGTAATGTGATGCATTCATGTTATATATTATTAGAGGCAGATTGATAATCCTACTGATCTTCCATGTAATTCTACTCTTAAATCAAAAGGGTCAAAAACATACAGATTTTTTTATGGAATGTTTATTAAGCTCTAGTTAATATGACAAGGAAATATTTTGGCCTGGTAAATTGGCGATAGAACTACAAGATATTAGACATTTAAAGGAGATTATGAATTAACTATTTTCCCCTCTCCATCAGAGATTAGTTAATAATGTAGATTCAACCATTTAGAGATAGCGTCAGGTCTAAGATGCTAACCATGTGACTCTCTCAGTGAAACTTATATTACTTTTTTCTTTTTATCAATTATCTACAATTTTTATTAAAAATAATTTCTATGTAATTTTTTTTTTTGAGACAGAGTCTCGCTCTGTCGCCCAGCCTGGAGTGCAGTGGTGCAATCTCGGCACAGTGGTGCAAGCTCTGTCTCCCAAGTTCACGCCATTCTCCTGCCTCAACCTCCCGAGTAGCTGGGACTACAGGTGCCCACCACCACGCCCGGCTAATTTTTTGTATTTTCAGTAGAAATGGGGTTTCACCGTGTTAGCCAGGATGGTCTTGATCTCCTGACCTCATGATCCGCCCGCCTCGGCCTCCCAAAGTGCTGGGATTACAGGTGTCAGCCACCATACCAGGCTGTAAATTTTTATTATACAAAATGTGTGACATTCACAAAAATATTAATAAGACTATGAAAATCACCTGCAATCCCAGCCTCCTTAGATAAATACTTAATGGTTTGTTAATATTTTCTTCCAATCTTTGTACCATATAAATATATATACATATATATGTATTTAATGAGATTATGCTAGATAAAAAGTTGCATAACCAGTTTCATTTACTTACTGTTTGTATTCTACTAAGTATGTTAGTTCTCTATTGTTATTTAATAAGTTAACACAAAATTAGCAGCTTAAAACAACATACATTTCATTGATTCCATGGATCAAGAGACAAGGCATGACAAAACTGGATCCTCTGCTCAGTCTCATAAGGTTGCAATGAGTCAGCCAGGCTGAACTTTCATCTGGAGGCTTGACATGGAAAAAAATATGATTGCCAGCTTATTCAGGCTTTTGGCAGAATTCATTTCCTTGTAGCTATAAGACTGAAGGCCACAGCTTTTTCACCAGCTGTCTGTCTGTGCAGGATGCCCTCAGGTGCTATCGGCCAAGTGCATTTCCTAGAAGTTACTTACAGTTCCTAGAAGCTGCCCTGCAGTTCCCTGCCATGTGATCTTCTCCAGCATGGCCACTTCCTTCATCATGTCACCTCAGGGAGGGCCTTGTCCTTCTTTATTTTTTTGAGACAGAGTTTTGCTCTTGCCCAGGCTGGAGTGTAATGGTGTAATCTCAGCTCACTGCAACCTCTGCTTCCTGGGTTCAAGTGATTCACCTGTCTCAGCCTCCCAAGTAGCTGGGATTACAGGTGCCCACCACCCTGCCCAGCTAATTTTTGTATTTTTAGTAGAAACAGGGTTTCACCATGTTGCCCAGGCTGGTCTTGAACTCCTGACCTCAGGTGATTTGCCCACCTTGGCCTCCCAAAGTGCTGGGATTGCAGGTGTGAGCCACCACAGCAGCCAGGCCTTGTCCTTCTTTTAAAAGTCTTCACCTAATTAAGTCAGGCCCACTCAAATGATCTTCTTTTTGATTAACTGAAAACAAGTGATTTAGGACCTTAGCTACATCTACAAAATGTCTTCATGGTTGCCACATTCTATTGGTTAGTAGCAAGTTATAGGTCCCACCCACACTCAAGGGGAGGGGATTATATAGGGTGAAGCACAAGCTACAAGAATCATGGGGCCACATTAAGGTCCATCCAGCCTATGCCAAATCATTTAATTTCTTAAAAAATGTAATTCTCAAGGCAAGTATTTGTACAATTTTGCATGCTTTTAGTTGTCATGTCAAGAAACTATTATCAGATTAGTTTATAATATGAACAAATAGGTTTGCAGGGGAAAAAAAGAAAACCAACTACTAAAGATTGAAGGAATGATAGAGATAAAAAAAACCACTGTTTTCCAACTGTATTACAATCATTGATACAAAAAGAATTCTCAATGAATTATTAAACCATTGAGCAAAAGTTTTGGAAAATACATTATTTAGAACATTTCAAAAGTGTAACTTCAGAGATTCTTTTTTTTTTTTTTTTTTTTTTTTTTGAGACAGAGTCTTGCTCTGTCACCCAGGCTGGAGTGCAGTAGTGTGATCTCGACTCACTACAACCTCCAACTCCAGGGTTCAAGAAATTCTTGTGCCTCAGCCTCCCAAGTAGCTAGAACTACAGGTGTGTGCCACCATGCCTGGCTGATTTTTTTTTTTTTTTTTTGTATTTTTAGTAGAGACAGGGTTTCACCATGTTGGCCAGGCTGGTCTCAAACTCCTGACCTCAAGTGATCCACCCACTTAGGCCTTCCAAAATGCTGGGATTACAGGCATGAGTCACCATGCCCAGCCCACTTCAGAGATTATTAATTACAAAGTAAGATAACAAATTTTCAATGGAAAACTCGAGTAGATATTAACATTAACCACTTATTAAATTTAATAAAACCACTAATAATGAAAATGCTATTATATGGCTCTATACCTTGCTGGTATAGATAGGCTGTATCAACTATTTATTATGTTGAATCATAAGAATTTGTTTTTATAGGTCAAAAGTGACCAAATATCAGCAGTTTATATAGTCTGGGGAAATTTGGAGACGAAGGTGACATTCTGAAAAACAACTGGCCTGGACTCTTTTGAAATGATAATATTATGAAAGACAAAAAATAAAGGTGAGAAATTATTATTAATTAAACAAAAATGACATAAATCTTTGAAATGTGACATTCTTAATTGGGTTCCAGATTTTAAAAAACTGTAAATGGGAAATGGGAAATTTGAAGATGTATCAAGTTAAATTTTTTGAATCAAGTAATTGTACTGTAATAATGAAAGGAAACAACCAAATTCTTAGATCACATTTGCCAAAGTACTGAAGGATGATTTTTATGCAGTATCATTAGTATCTTCATGTCCAAAAATAAGTCTTACCATGTATATATATATATATATATATATATATATATATATATATATATATATGTATGTCTGTGTATGTGTATTTGTGTGTGTGTAAATATATATATACAACTGAGCATGTACGTATGTGTGGAGAGAGAGAGACTGTTGTATCAAAACACCAAACGTGGCATTGACTTTGAAACTGAGTGGTAGGCAGAAGTTGGAAGAACCTTGAGAAGACAGTTGGTAAAGGTTTGAAAATGTGAGTATAAGATGGAGAGAAGGGGATTCTTGTGGCAGAATAAGAAAAGTTTGGCAGTACTGGTACCTGCAATAAAAAGAAAATAGAAAGGGTACCTAGTAAGCTTGCCAATCTAGCTGGGAAGATTTCCAGGAGGAATTTTAAAAGCGGAAACTGGCTTCTTCTAGTTTGCCTGTTTTAGGTTGAATTGTGTCCCCTAAGAAAATAATGTTGAAGTCTTAGCCCTCAGGTACCTGTAAATTTAACCTTATTTGAAAAAAAAAAAAAAAGTGTCTGTCCATATGTAATAAAGTTAAGATGAGATCATTAAGGTAAGCCATAGTCCTGTATGATTTGTGTCCTTATAAGGAAGAGAAGAGACATCAACACACGGAAAGACAGCAGAAGAATGCCATGTTACAATAGAGGCAAAGATTGCAGAGATGTGTCTAATAACCAAGGAACACACCACGGATTTTTGGCAACACCAGAAGCTAAGAGAATAGGAGAGGTTCTCCCCTAGAATCTCCAGAGAGGGGACGGCCCTACCAACACTTGATTTTGGACTTCCAGCCTCCGGAACTGTGAGAGAACAAATTTCTGTTGTTTTAAACCAATCAGTTTATGGCAGCTTGTTATGGTAGCACTTGAAAACTAATACACTCTTTATGATAAAATACCATGAAGGAAAAAAACTGTTTCTAGCCTTTCCCAGAAAAAACAAACAAACAAACAAATAAACAAACACAAAACAAGACATGAATTTGGGGCAGAGATCAATCTTGGGTACCTCTGTAGAACCCTTTGTTTCTATAAGACAGAAAGATCTAATTGACTATTTCAGTTAAACAAAAAACTTTCTAAGGAACTGAAGAATGTTCTTTGTAGTCCCTCTGTATTAAACAGCAGGCTTCGAGGAACCCTTAGGGCACTGTCCCACAGAAGCTTCACACTGAGCTCAAGATAGGGGAGAGTCTGTCTAAAGAGATCTGTGGGTCTGGTGTTTAGATAATGGAGAGAACCCCAATATGATTCATAGAAAACTATGGAGCAGAGGCAGCACAACATAAAAATAGGCCTGTGGTTCCCCAACCTTCTAAGGGCAGGGAGAAAGCTGAGAAATCTATTCAGTTGCACATATAGGAAATTTCTTACCCAAAAGGGAGGATGACTCAGCCAATAGAATTAAGAGTGTGGATGATAGAGTCAGGAACCTCACAGAATTATTCCCAGTGAATAGGAATAGGCCCTAATTAACAGCGACAGGCTCTCAGCTGGATTTCAGAATTGCTATAAACCAGTGACTATTATATGACTCCATTTCCCATTCTCTCCTCCCCTTCCAAGGGAATATCTATTTTGATTATTCAATCTCGGCTTCACTATTGTATGTTGGGTCTGTGAACAGCAAATAACTTATCTCTTTAGTGGCAAGGTCTTCAGATGGTAAGCAGTTATACTCAACAAGCAACATCCAAGGATGTTCACTGCACCTAGACCCAAGGAATCATGTTCAAGTAACTTCATCTGCATCTGGACCTGAATTCAGTGACAAACTCCTAGACTGATGCTTTAATAGTTATGAGATACTGGGATCTTAGAAATGAGAAGAGGTTGAATAAATTTCACATATAGGAGCCATAGAAATAATTTGTGGACTTAAGATAGACTATGGCAGACTAAGGATGGCCACAAATTCTTTGACATTTATTCCAATAGAAGGTGGGGTCCATGTACCCTGCCCTTTAATGGCACAGGCTCTGTGACTGCTCTGACCAATAGAATGTGGTAGAAGTGTGCTGTGCCAGTTTCTGGGCCCAAGCATTAAGAGATTGGAAGCTTCTATGTCCTATAGACATTCACCTTACTGTGAGAAGGCTA
This sequence comes from Homo sapiens, assembly GCF_000001405.40. Classification (NCBI taxonomy): domain Eukaryota; kingdom Metazoa; phylum Chordata; class Mammalia; order Primates; family Hominidae; genus Homo; species Homo sapiens. The sequence continues at coordinate 82,530,824 of NC_000007.14, read as the reverse complement.
AGCCACATAGAAAGTTGTTTTTAAATGTGGGTTTTATTATTATTTAGGTATAATGAGGCTGACAGATCAAGAGATGACTACCATTCAAAGTAGTTTGTCACTCACAGATCCCAAGAGGAGAGGCATGCACGCGGGGAATCACCAGGGTCATTCAGGAGAGACAAGTGGGGAGGGGGAAACATGGGCAGGAGACTTTCTTGTGGTTTTCGTGAGAAAGGCAAGGCAGGATTAGCAGGCTGAGGATTGACTAGTTTGAATAACTTCAGCAGGCTCTGTGGTCTAGGGCTTATCACTGCTTGCCTGGTAATTGGCTTTAAGATGATTAGGAAATAGGAATATTGTCTACTGGGACGTAAGAGCCAGCTAGAGGAAGTAGTTCAGAGTATGGGCTCTGAATTGCTTAATTCGCATATTAAGGCACCCTGCTGGCCATGTTGTTTGCTATATCTAATAATTGGCTAGCCTACGAGGGGCGTTATCTCCCCAGGCAACAAAACACCAGATTCCAGTGCATCAAAAATAAAGAAAACATGAAAATACAGTTAATACAGGAGGCCACTCTGGTCAACAGATGATAGCAGTGCGAGTGGACCATCTTAGGTGTTCAGTTAACTGAAACAAATAGCCAACCTTAGCGACAGCCACTGCTAAATATATATCACATGAGAGACCCCAAGCAAAAACCACCTACCTAATCCCAATCAGCCCAGGAAAGCATGAAAGGCAATAATAAATTGCATTTTAAGCCACTAGGTGTGAGGGTGTGCGAATTCCAGCAGTAGATAACTAAAACAAAATTTGTGTCTATGTTTGTGTATGTATCCACACAGAGGAGAGTAGGAAGATAGATAGAGCAAATGTGGCAAAATATTATTAACAATGGGCTCAATCTAGGTCAAGTATTTATGGTTGTTCTTTGCAATATTCTTTCAACATTCTGTAGATTTGAATTTTTAATTAGAAGTTTGAGTAGGGAAAAAAATACAGAAATACAGAAAAACAATCTTATGTGTAAAATGGACATGAATTCAAACTGTATTCTGTAAGCCAGAAGACATAGCTAAGGCTTTTTGTTAGGTTGATGATTATATGGAGAGAAAACTATTCCCATTGTGGGTAAAGCCTGGATAATTAGAGGCCTTCTCCTCTAAACTATAAGAAGGGAGAAAAGAAACTCTGTAAATAAAAGAAATGTGAAAATATCGCCAAGACTAAAAATATTCTCACATTAGGCTCCTTCCAGAGATCTGGGAATTATTGTTATTTTCTCCCAGCAAAATTTTGAAAAAAGAAAAAAAGGTATTCTTACATTTTTATATTTGCAAAATAAAAATTCCCCTAGCTTTCAGAAAAATAATGGCTCTTTATTGGCTCATATAACTGAGAAGTCCAGAGACAGGTGAGGCTTCATATAAAGCCAACCATAGTTTCTCAATATATCAACAAGGACCAATTTTCTTTTTTTTTTTTTCCACTACCTTTCTCAATGCCAGATTTATCCTAAGCCTAATCTCAGTATGGCAGCGAATAGACCCTAAGGCTACCTTGTATTCTCATTATTTCAGGAAAGAGCAAATGTCTTTAAAAAACCTGAGAGTTTCTGAGACCAAACTATGCTTGCAAGTTCCCCAGGCCATAGCTGTGTCCTGAAGATGGAATGTGATCATCAACTGTGCTTTGGTTATGTGGTTTCCTCCACAAGTCAGGAGTGATATCAGCATCTCTAATATCACCAAAAGGAAATATAGATATGCCGGGAATTTTGAAAGATAAAACAGATACTGCATGGGCAACCAACCAAAAACCACTTCTGTGTACATTCTCCCTCCAGTTCTCATCTATTTCTTTTTGTACATTGCTTCTTTTTTCTCTTAAGCTGCAAAATGACCACTAGCCAATTCTGAGTTTAAAACATTTTCTTTCAAGAAAATAGCAAGACTTATATTGGAAACTCCTTGTCCCAAGGCAAATTTATAGAAAAGAGAGACTGCTTGGCCTAGTCTGAGTCATGTGACCAAAAAATGTGATCATGACCTTGAGTCAGTTTCTATAAGCAGCAGGTATCTGGTGCACCCATTTGGTTTGTGGTGAGTGGATGTCACTAAAATAGGGGGTTTTGTGGGGATAGTAATGTAGTGAACCAACAGTTGTCCATTCCAAGTTTCAGCATAGATGAGGCAGTGGCTATTGGTTTAAGATAGTGTGATAGCCAGGCTCCAAGACGACCCCCAGTGATCCATAATTCTTCTTATTCATCCCCTTGCATAATACCGTTCCACCCTGAAACAGGTCTGGTCTATGTGATGGAATGACATCCTAGGCTACTGTAACAAAAGGCACTGTAGCCTGTGCCTTGCTCTTTTGGATTGCTCATTCTATGGGAAGCCAGGTACCATGACATTCAAACAGCCCTTAACAAGCTCACATGGAGGGAAAACTGAGGACTTCCTCCCAACAGCTAGTTTCATCTTACTATTCATGAGGTTTAGCAACATTGAAAATAGAACCTTGAGCTCCAGTTTAGCCCTTAGATGACTACAACCTCAACCAACACATAATTTGTTATGTAGCAACATATGACTTACACAGATTGATATTCTCTAATTTGTTAAAGATTAAATCACTTTAGTGCTAGTTATGTGTGTATGTGTATGTGCATGAATTCTGAAACCATCCCTGTAAACTTTACAAAATAATCAGGGAAGAAGCGGGGCAGGGGGTGAGAAATGAAAATAAGCCAAGCTTGCAACACAGTCAGCATTAATCATCAGGTCAGCTTGCTCTCTGACATGCTTCCTCATAGTTTGGTGCCTACTGCCCTGGAATCTTGTAGACCCTGTTACAAGATTATAGTTCCCCTTAACTGCTCTATAGATAATGACTTGAACATAAAACATTAAGTTTTCCCTTTGAGATATTTCCTCAGGTCCTGCATATCAGTGAAACTAGCAACATCAGCTGGTCTGAAGGACCCCACAAGAAGCTGACTCACCAAAGAATTCAGTTTCCATGTCCCAAGGATTTCATTCCCCTTACTTACCCCAACCAATCAGCAACACCAATTTTCCAGCCCCTCACTCTCCATAATCCCCTTTAAAAAACTCCAGCCCAGAACTCTTAGAGGAGATGAATTTGAGGGTATCCTTCCATTTCCTTGCTCAGCATCCTTTGACCATTAAATGCTTTCTCTGCTGCATCCTTGCTGTCTCGATGTATTGGTCTGTTACTGCATAGCAGGCATATAAACCTATTGGTCCTATAACCATTCTGTCCTGGATTAGGTATTATAATTTATGAAGTTCTCTTCTAGAATCAAAGGAGGCTACTCTAATTTTTCTGATTAGGTAAATAGATAATTACTGATGAATCTTCTACTTTTAGTAATAATTAGCACCTATATATATATGTATATTTCAATTATTTCCTCCACCTATATGAAGTAGGTTAATAAGAAAGAAACTGAAACTTAATGAGATCAGAGAGCTTATCTAAGTTCACCCAGCTAGTGACAGCTTAAGGATTCAAGATCACATGTATTTTACCTCAGATCCCATGCTTTTAATCATTACATTTTAAATAGATTTATTTCTGGTCTTGACCCTAATTGCTCATGATTTACTAGGGAATTAAGAATGATGGTATTTTATTTAGGATATATTATAGTCACAGAAGTGATTACTTTCTATAGCATATATACAAATTTTGACATTTGGGTGTCAGAATGATAATAACTTCATATACCACGTTGAAATGGTATTCCTCTTTGTCTAGATTCTAAGGCAGTTTATAAAGGTAATATTTTTCTTTTTTTTTTTTTTCTGAGATGGAGTCTCACTCTGTCGCCCAGGTTGGAGTGCACTGGCGCGATCTCAGCTCACTGCAAGCTCCACCTCCCGGGTTCACGCCATCCTCCTGCCTCAGCCTCCCGAGTAGCTGGGACTACAGGCGCCCACCACCACGACTGGCTAATTTTTTGTATTTTTAGTGGAGACAGGGTTTCACCGTGTTAGCCGGGATGGTCTCGATCTTCTGACCTCGTGATCCGCCAGCCTCGACCTCCCAAAGTGCTGGGATTACAAGCGTGAGCCACCGCGCCAGGACTAAAGATAATATTTTTATATAAAATATGAGATAATTTATTTCAAAAGTGTAAAATCAAACTACCTGGTTTCAGAATTGTTTTGAGATATTTTGTCAATATAAATTTTGGGAATTTTAATTTTTTATCTTGAAATAACCAAAAATTTGCAGAAAAGAAAGATCTTTTAAATGAATTATTTGAAAGCTAATTTGCCAAATAGATATCCCATTCCTTTCAAATACTAAAGTTTATTGTGTAGTTCCCATAAACAAGGACTTTCCTTCTATGTAACCACAATACACCCATCAAAATTAGAAAAGTAACACTGATACATTTTTCCATCTTATTCTCAGAATCCATTCATGTATTGCTACTTGTTTTAAAAATTTCTTTTCTGCAAAATGATTTCATTTATAATCATATTAACCAACATCATCAGTTTATAATTACATCAAGCAACATCATGACTAAAATATAATTTATATAGCAGTATGTGGCTCATACAGATTTATATTTTCCATTTTGTTAAAGAAAAAAAGACTGGATAAGGCGGCTCATGCCTGTAATCTCAGCAGTTTTGGAGGCTGAGGTGGACGGATTGCTTGAGCCTAAGTATTCGAGACCAACTGGGCAACATGATGAAAACATGTCTCTACAAAAAATACAAAACTTAGCTGGGTATGGTGGCACACACCTGTAGTCCCAGCTCCTCGAGGGGCTAAGGTAGGAAAATCACCTGAGCCTGGGAGGTTAAGGCTACAGTGAACTGTGACGGTGCCACTGCACTGCAGCCTGGGTGACAGAGTGAGACTCTATATCCAAAACAAGGAAAAGAAAAACTTTCATATTTGTTTATCCTCCTTTAGTATGGAAGAGTTCCTTAGTCTTCCCTTGATTTTCATGACCTTTGCATTGCTGTAGCTGGTAATAATTTTGTAGAATGCCCCTTAGTTTGTGCATGTCTGATGTTTCCTCATGATTAGATTCAGATTATGTATCTTTGGTAGGAATATGACAGCAGTGACTGTATCCTCCTCTTTGCATCCTTTCAGGTGACACATGATTTCAGCTTTTTCCATCATTAATGATGGCTCACTTTGACCACTTGATTAAGATGATGTCTACTCAGATTGCCTACTGTAAAGTTGCTCTCTTTTTTTTTTGGAAATTAGTAAATATTTTGTGTAAAGAGACTTCAAAGCCATGTAAATATCCTATTCCTTATTACAGTTTCAATTTATTAATTTATTTATTTTGGTATAGATTCATGGTTCCCACTTGATTCAATAAGCTATAATCCATTACTATCATTATTGTCTTGTTGATGTTGTTTCTTAGTTGACCAATGGGACCCATTTTAAGCTGGCTTTTGTGTTCTTTTGATATATCGCCTTTATTCTTTGAGTGTTTCTTTGTTTCTGGCACAAGATATTCTAGGTTCATCTCATAATTTTCTTGCTCCAGCTATGATATTATCATTTCTACCAGGAGCCCTGATTACTTTTAGTGGAAATGGTTTTGAGAAGCCAAGTTTTGAACTCTAAGTTTGCTTGTGTTATTGAGATGTTACTGATCCGATCCCAGATAATGGACAGACCTAGGGAATGTGTGTGTGTACACATGCAACATAACACAATATACATCTGTATTTACTGCCTTATGTGTTGGTCTGTTGGAAACCTTTAGTTCACACTTACCCATCCAGCTCCCATTCAACCCCACAGGGTTCAGTTTAGTTTCTTCCCTTTCATATTTCTATCTCCCTTTTATGATATCGAGGAATCTGGTTGTCATGATGATTAACATATTTACTTCTTTCGTCAATCCCCTTTATGTTACCAATCTCCAATTTTCTCTATAGATGCATTTTCCTTTTCATGTAGATGCATTCCTCTTCCTTCTTGGATCTGACTCCTCACAATGGCTGAGGTAGGAGAATCGCTTCAACCCAGGAGGTAGACGTTACAGTAAGGTGAGATCATGCCACTGCACTTCAACCTGGGCTGCAGTGAGTGGGTCTCCATCTCAAAAAAAAAAAAAAAAAAAAGAATTTGATGAGGGCACCCATCTAGGGAAGCCCATAATCACTCAATGACTAACTGATAGAGAATATGAAAGTCCAACCCCCTCATCTCAAGGTAAAAGAAATTACAGGTGCAGTTACGGCTCTTAGCATCTCCTTCCCCATCATGCTGTGTGGGACTGGCTCAGCCCCTTCCTCATTCCTATCCGAATGCCCTTACTCCCTACCTTCCTTAGGTTTCTTCCCTCTGAAAAGCACTCCCTCAATAAATGACAGGCATCCAAATTTCTGTCTCATGCTCTGCTTCTAGAGATCCCAAACTAAGATAACATTGTATAATGAGCTTATACATGCTTCATGGATGCTTTAACAAGAATGTATATATAATTTGTACATATGTGCCTATGTATTTATACACACATATTACATTGATCATATTTTGAAATAGTAACACATGTTCCCTTTCCCCAGTATATGCTTGTTTTCATTTCTTACCTCAGTTTAGACAGGAACAATAGCTTTCTATATTCTCTGCTACAGGGAAAAGACTAATACAGCTTAGAATTAGGAGTCAAATTATGGTTGTGCTTTTCCAAATGAGCTCCTGAAACTCATAGCAGAGGAAATAATCTTAATAGCAAAGGTGTTCACTGCTAAGAACCACCCTATTTTTTCCTCATCTCAATAAATGCCAGCACCATTTACCCAGTTGTTAAAATGAAAATCTTGAAGTTATGCTTGATCGATCCTGCTCTTTCTTTCACATTGAACATCTGGTTCTCTAGCAAATTCTGTCAGCTCTACATTCAAAATATAACCCAAATCAAATATTTTCTCAACACTTCCACTGCTATATCTATTTTGTCTTTCTCCCTCTTTTTTTTTTTTTACAAACCATACAAGACTATAATAAACAATCAGAAGATGCTGTGCTTGATGTCTGTAGGTTCCCTATATTAATGTTTTTTATTTTTAATTTTCATGGGCATACAATAGGTGTATACATTTATGGAGTGCATGAGATATTTTGATAGAGGCATGCAATATGTAATAATTACATCATACTATATCTATTCTCACCTGGATGACTATCATTAACTCCTAATTTATCTTGTTTCCCCTCTTGAGTCCACCCTCTCAATCTTCCCACAGCCGGCCAAACCTTTTAAAATGTAAATCAGATCCTCTTGTTCCTCTCCAGAACTCTCTACAAACCTCCCATCCCACTTAGAATAAAGTACAAAATCTGCGTAATCTGGCATCCAACTCTTCTTCCAACTTCTCTTTTCATGTTGCCTCTCACTTATTCTTGCTTCCTTCATACTAATGCACAGTACTGATTCAAGAAAATTTAGACTTTCTAGAACAACTTTTAAAATATGTATCTGATATCTCAGTAACTCTCTCCCTACTTAATTCATATCTCTGCTTAAAGGTCATTTCCTCAAGGAACAATTTCTCAATCTCTTAAATTTTTTATTTTTTTCTTTCTTTATTTATTACTATTATTATTATTATTATTATTATTTTGAGACAAGGTCTTGCTCTCTCACCCATGCTGGAGTGCTGGAGTACAGTGGTGCTATCACAGTTCACTGCTGCCTCGACTTACCAGGCTCAGGTGAGCCTCCCTCCTCAACCTCCCAAGTAGCACAGACTACAGAAGTGTACCACCATGCCTGGCTGATTTTTGTCTTTTTATTTTTATTTTTTTATATATTTTTTTTTTTTTGAAACAGAGTCTCGCTCTGTCGCCCAGGCTGCAGTGCAGTGGCATGATCTCAGCTCGCTGCAACCTTCGCCTCCTGGGTTCAGGAGATTCTCCTGCCTCAGCCTCCTGAATAGCTGGGATTACAGGCATGTGCCACCACGCCTGGCTAATTTTTGTATTTTTAGTAGAGATGGGGTTTCACCATGTTGCCAGGCTGGTCTCGAACTCCTGACCTCAAGTGATACCCCTGCCTCTACCTCCCAAAGTGCTGGGATTACAGGTGTGCACTACCACACATGGTCTCAAGCATCATTTTTAAAAGTGTTCTTCACTACTCTCTGTTTTCTGACTCTATTTTGTTTACTGCAATGTACTTTTACTTACACTATATTTATATCTCTTATTTGTTTATCATCCACTTTCTTCATGTAATGAAAGCTTATAAAAGACTTATCTATTTTGTCTACTATTATTTCTTCCACATATCGAATACTGTCTGATACATAATAGCAGTTCATTGTTATACAAATGGATGAATTGAGAATGGTTACATGAATGAACGACTCAAACTAATGCCAGGCGTTGGTTAGTTTTATCCAACTAAAACTATTTACTTTGTTAGGTCATGCATATTTTATACAGTTTGGTAGTTAGTTTGTTTTTGCCTGAAGTTTACGACATCCCTTTTTTCCTCTCATTTTGTGTAAAAGCTATGTTTGCTTACCTCACATTATCTTCAGTATCTTTAATATGAATCATGCCATTTAGTCCTTAATTTTAATCTTAGTTTCATTCCTTAATTTTATTCTTCTTGAACCCCACAGACTTTTGGCTCTAATTTGGACTTATGTCTGTACAAACCACACATTCTTGCACAGATATTTCATTGACCCTTACATTTCTGAGGGCCTTTCTTATTCCCTTGGGTAGTTAAAATGAAAATCTTGGACTTATACTTGACCTTGCTCTTTTGTTCACATCAACCATCCAATCTTCTAGCAAATCTGATCAGTTTTAACTTCCAAATCTAACCCAAATCCAATATTTTCTCAAGTCCTCCACTATCATGCTTATTTCTCAGCTGGCTCACTGCCATCACCTTTTTCATATCCTCAATTTATTCCAACTTGGCAACCACACTGTCTTTGTTTTGAACTTTATTTCCCCCTAGAAATACCTTCCAGGAAGCTTCCATCTTTCTGCTCTGATTTGGACAGATTGCTCTCCAGGCCTGCTTTAGAACTGTCATGTTGGGACTTCTCTTTATTTCTATTTTGGTTTAAATTCACCTTTTACTGGATCCAATGTCTTAATCATTCTTAGTTAATCCATCATTTTGCCAAAGTATATCCTCAGATCAATCTGTCTCACTGACATGCTCTCATGTGTGTGTACACCAATCTCAATTTCTAAAATCTTCTCTTTATCCTTAGATCTTTTTAAATTCATCTGCATCAGCCCTCCATGGGAATTCTCATTCTGAACACTTGTTTGTCCCTCTCCTATTTTTTTTTTTTTTTTTTTTTTTTTTGAGACAGAACCTGGCTCTGTCACCCAGGCTGGAGTGCAGTGGGCCAATCTCAGCTCACTGAAACCTCCGTCTCCCAGGTTCAAGCAATTCTCCTGCCTCAGCCTCCCTAGTAGCTGGGACTACAGGTGTGTGCCACCATGCCTGGCTAGTTTTTGTATTTTTAGTAGAGACATGGTTTCACCATGTTGGCCAGGCTGGTCTCCTGACCTCAGGTGATCCACCTGCCTCAGCCTCCCAAGGTGCTGGGATTACAGGTGTGAGCCACTGCGCCCGGCCTATTTTTTCTTTGATAATTCCCCCTATATTCACTCCTTCCATTTTCTGCAATTTAGTCTCTATTTGAACTCCACTGAGTCATGTTAGGACCCTTAATCATTTATATCTAAGATTTTTCCTTTTTTTTTACTCTATATTATTTTGTTCTATATTCCAGGATACTTTATTTACTCTTCCAAAGTTCATATGCAGTTTATGTTTGTCAATTATACATTTTCATTTTCAGTAGCTTTTTTTATTTTTATTGCTACTTTTACATAGCGTGTAATTATTTTTCATAGATGCAATATCTTAGTGAATGTCTATAAAGACAGTAAACAATTTCTTGAATGTTATCTTTGTTCTGCAAATTGCCTTGATTTCCTCTTGGTACTATCTTTTAATTTTTTATATTTGTATTCTTTCAAACATTTTAATTATCAATCCATAATGATAATATGAGTAATATCTTGGGTTATTGGTTAATAAATAATAGGAAAAAAGTGCTCTTTGTACATTAACAGAGTATGTTGACTGATTCTGAAGGGTAATTCAGACACCTGGCTTTTATTTCAGATATGCCTTACATTCTAGAATTAAAGGAGATTTAAACTGGGGTGCCAACATCCAAATTCGCTTCTTTACTTCTTACCAGAGGGCTCTATTGAGTCATTTAGAGAACCGTAGTCTGTTGGAGGTTTCACTGGGTACATGCTGGCAGCAGGCTGTTCTGCATGTGGAGGTTTGAGGAGGGGGTGTCAAGTGCCTGGTGCTCAGTAACATAAGACATTTCCATGTTCAAATTTGGACTCCCTCCTCTTCATTTCCTCTGTGGGGATTGTACAATGGATTCCCACAGCCTGCTCTATCTGTTGGCATTCTTCCATCCACTTTCTGTCTTCCAGACATTTGATAAAACCTCTTGCCTGCTGATACCACACCTTTTTGTTCTCTTTGTGAGTGCAGAAGTTTTAAAAAATTCTATCAACATCACTGGGGAGAGAGAGAAGAGAAGCTTAAGTTTCCAGTCTACCCTCCAGACTCACAACCATTAATGGACTATTGCTGCCTTTTAAAAAAAAGCATGTAACCAAATATTTGATTGAAGTGTTTTTCTCCCTCTAATAAGGAACAAAAGTTCATCGTAAGATTTATCTTATTGTCATTTCTGACCCTCACAGGAGATCCTGGCCACGAATATTTGTGGCCCTCAAATTACATATCACTAAAATTGAGAGATTTCTGAATGGCTTTCACCTCTAAAATTACAGCTCTAAATCTATGGCAAAACATTTATTAATATGTTTACAAATATTATTCCGGTTATCATAGAATGCTTACTGATGTATGTTCTAGAATGACAAAGCAAGAATTAGAAGGCTTAGAGTTATTGAACAAGAAAAAAATTATTCTCCAAAAAGAGAATTATTTTTCCATTATAAGTTATATTCTAAGGGGGAAAACCCAGCTGGCATTAAAACAGTAATGTTTTATTTATAGGAAAAAAAAGAATGACAGCTCAATTCACCTTAAAGACAAGTCACACCAAAATCTCATAAGAAAAGATTCTTTCCTTTGCAAATGTTTGTATTGCTTCCTGAATCTTTTTCCCATTATGAGAACCAGAGAGCATGTAGTATACAGTGATGTATTGGCTTTTGTTCACAGCACTTCACAACAATGCTATGGATTTTAGGTCAACGGGCTGCAAATGAGATCTTAGATTTCGACTTGTAAAAGACTGTGGATTTTGTGTGTGCTGGTGAGATACAGGGACACAAAAAGGCAGCTGTAATGTTTTTTTTTGTTTTGTTTTGTTTTTTTTTTTTGAGATGGAGTCTCGCTCTGTGGCCCAGGCTGGAGTGCAGTGGCAGGATCTCGGCTCACTGCAAGCTCCGCCTCCTGGGTTCACGCCATTCTCCGGCCTCAGCCTCAGGAGTAGCTGGGACTGCAGGTGCCCGCCACCACACCCGGCTAATTTTTTTGTATTTTTAGTAGAGATGGGGTTTCACCATATTAGCTATGATGGTCTTGATCTCCTGACCTCGTGATCCACCTGCGTTGGCCTCCCAAAGTTCTGGGATTACAGGCGTGAGCCACCGCGCCCGGCCTAATTTTTTTAAAGAATAAAATTGTATCATCAACTGAAAATATTTACCTTTATTGGTTCTTACCTTGAAGAGTGTGGCTCAATCTGAGTCAGCAGCCTGCTCTTTAGCATGTCTGTAAATTTAACATTATTTGAAAAGCTAATGAAGCACATTTTAGTTTCCACTTCGTTTTTGGGTGTACAGTTCTGTTGATGGATGAAGCAATATTTGGAATCCATATTAGTAAATTCTGACACATACATGTGCAGAGTTTTATGTATGCATGTAGAAGAATTGCAAGGGTCGTGAATGCATCCCAAAACATAATTGGCTCTGTTATAATTGGACCCTGGAGAAAAACTGTCCTGCTGCAGCTTGAGGCTTTTCCTCTGGGAATTAAAAACAAAACAAAACAAACAAAAAAAATCGCTTTTTTCTTACCAGTTTCATTTCTATACATCTTTAGCATCAATTTAAACTGCAGAAATAATAGTACTAAAATATTTATTAGAAAAAAAGTTAAACCTCATGGAAAGAGTATCTTCATAAATCAGATTCTATTTCATGAAGTTGTATATTTTTTTTGCAAACTTGTTTTCATTTTATCTAGTCATTCAATTCATTTTTAAATATTTCTAAAGCAATTTTAGGCCTGTGGTAAGAGAAATAAGATGATTTTCAATTACAAAATATTAATCCGAGATTATTTACAAGAGTAGGTAAATTAAGATGGAATCATCAGACTCAAGGAATCTATATCTTTCAAAAAGAATTTGTTGCTTTTGTTTGGGTGACAGGATGTCCTTAGTTTTACGTTACCCCTAACGGGAATGTTCAGAAACTTGTTTTAAGTATGAATTCTCATATTCATTATATGAATAGTAAACAAGCTTGTGTCAGAGTTTTGTTTTAATAACCTTTGTCTATAACTTAGTCTCCTTTTAATTGCTCAGTCTTCTGTAGTCCCAAATCCCTTTGCTCCTCAGCTTCACATGGGGCTCATCACATTTGTCTTTTTTTCTGTTTTGTGCATGTGGCGTGTTTTTTTTTTTTTTCCATCCTGTGAGATTCCTAATGACGGAGACCATATTCTATTAGTTTTTGTTGCTCCACAGCCTAGGTTGGTATTTGCTAAGGGTTAGATAGAATGTTGTTAAATTTGTTATTCAACTGTCTATGCTTTTAAAAATGCCATTTCTTTTTAGCCATTTTCTCTCTCTCCTAAATTCATAGAGGAGTGTAAAAATAATAAGAGAATATTACACTTTAACCAAGCTGCTGAAAAGTAGGAAACAGAATGAAATAATGAGGAACTTTTTACAAATAAGTCGAATGAACCTAGATTTTGACAAATCTAGGCAATAACGAAGACTTTTAATAACCATAGAAAGAAATTTTGTTTTTTTACGAGAGGGCTTATGAACAACAAATTATTCATTGCAAAGCACTTTAAACACAAAGGTGTCTAAAGATTCTAGGTAAATGTACTAAAGCTTACAAGCTGGATTATTAAGTGTTTCAATAATCTCCAAAAGCCTGAAGTACGGGGACCACCCTGTGTCCTAATGAACACACTCATCATTTCCTTAAATAATTCCCTTACTTTTATAACTTATAATTTCACTCCCACTTTCTTCAAATTTGTTGTGGGGCAACTTCCATAAAGGACACAGTCTCTGAGATGCAACCATTTGAAACTAATAATTATCAGGTCATGACTACAGAAAAGAAATTATTTAGTCAATGCATTATTTTAAAAACAGCTAAACATTGGTCTGCTCACACTTCCTCCTACCTTCCTCCACCTTCCTCTCTTTGTCCATAATCTGGTTTCTGTTAAAGGGCCTATTCTTATACTGTTTGAACCTCATCTTTCACCCACATACATCCTGCTGCTTTGCAGGTAACCATGACAATATTTCACAGTAGTGAGGTTAGGTGCCATATGAAATGCAGCCATGCTTTCTTAAATTTATTAGCAAGCACACCTTTCCCAAAATACACACACACACACACACACACACACACACACAAATATCATATTAAAACTGCATGACATTTGCGAACTCTTAAAAGACCGAGTGTGCAATCAAATGATTTAATGAGTGGGGGGAGATCATGATTATTTTGCTGGGAACATATAAAAGCATATGAATCCTTGCTAATATAAAAACAGTATCTTGATTTTTTCTACATTATTATCCCAAGTACTTTCACTTCTTCAGTATCTGCCTCCTTAAGATTTACATTAATTAGAAACATTTGCTAACTAATAATCACAACAAGGTTGAAGGTAGATATATTTTCTGGCTTGTAGCTTAAAAGAAAAATATTGTTAATAATTATTAGTCATTTAGTATTTCTAATCAGACAACCGTGGTATGACATGAACACACTGGTCAAGGAGTAAGAAGTTTGAGACTCAGATTCTGGGCAGTGATAGCAATTGCTGGATCATCCAGAGTTTTTCCCATATGGACTATATCCTGATGTTTTGTTTACTCACGTTTACTAATTCAATTATCATCTCTTTACTGGCAATTCAAGTATCTCTGATTCTTGCCTCTCTACAGAGCTTTAGTTCATTATGGGGTTGAAATAAAAGCATAAAACCCATCCAAAATAAATCTTTTTTTGAGCATTAGTGGAAACACTCTCCTAGACACTGAGGCTCAAAGAAAGATACTAGATGTTATCCCAGAACTTGGAGACGTAAGTCACATCTTATTTAGCCTTTTCTCTAAATGGTTTCTTTCTTTGTTAAACTAGTATATATTTCATAATCAATACTGTCACACTGTCTCTTAGGTGTGCCCCAAAAATGAGTGATACAGAGGCCCAGCCCTCAGGAAGTTCATACTCTAGCCATCCCATTATTTCTTCTTCCACTATATATAATATATATATATATTTTTTTTTTTTGAGATGGAGTCTCGCTCTGTCGCCCAGGCTGGAGTGCAGTGGCACGATCTCGGCTCACTGCAAGCTCCGCCTCCCAGGTTCACGCCATTCTCCTGCCTCAGCCTCCCAAGTAGCTGGGACTACAGGCGGCCGCCACCACGCCCGGCTAATTTTTTGTATTTTTTAGTAGAGACGGGGTTTCACTGTGTTAGCCAGGATGGTCTCGGTCTCCTGACCTCGTGATTTGCCCCCCTCGGCCTCCCAAAGTGCTGGGATTACAGGTGTGAGCCACCACGCCTGGCCTTCTTCCACTATATTTCTTTAATTCTTGCTCTTATCTCAGTACTAGAGTCAGTGTCTTTTTCTTGAACTTTGCCCCCTGTCAATTACCCACCAGATTAAATTCTTGAAAACAAAGCTTCCAACGTATCACTAACTCTAAAGGTTTCCAATTGCATAAAGTTTGTCATTGAAGGATCTCCAAAACCCGCCTCTCAGCAAACCTTGTGTTATCCATTACCACATTTTTGCCAACATTTTTCCTTCCACCAGGCACTTCCCATTGTTTTTAGTTTATCAATATTTCAAGACCAAGTTAGACTATAACTGCTCTTTGAAGCCTTCTCAGACATTCAAAATGATATCATTAATAATAAATAAAAACAGCAATAATAATAATACCTAATAGTTGGAGACTAGGTCTATGTTCCAGTTATGCACCATGGTAATCGCCTTACATGCATTATCTCAATCTCTGCATTAATTTTCTACTGCTGCTGTAACACATTAATACAAACTTACTGGCTTAAAACACAAAATGGTTCTGAAGGTTAAAAGTCAAATAAATTCCATTGCCTAAAATCACAGTGCTGGCAGGGCTGTGTTTCCTTCTAAAGGATAAAGGGAGAATCCATCTCCTTGTTTTTCAGCTTCTAGAGGGCACTTGCATTCCTTGGCCTTGAACCCCTTCCTTCATCATCAAAGCCAGCAACATTGGACTGAGTTATGTTTCTCTGCTTCTCTGACACCTGGCTCTTGAATCTGGCTCCCCACTTCCTTTTTTAAGGATCCTTGTGATTACAGTAGGCCACCCAGATAATTCAGAATAATCACTTCATCTCAAGGTCTTTAACTTAATCACATCTGCAAATTCTTTTTTGTCATGTAAGATAACATATTTATTATCTCCCATAATAAACACTTATTTTTTCACAAGAAAATCTTTCTGGGTGAGACAAGGACTATATATCATATGGGCAACTTATGTATTTTCCTCCATGGGAAGTAACAGAGAACGGAGAGACTGTGGAGCCATTATATCACCTCAGCTGTCGTAGAGTGGGGAGGGGGTAGGATATAGGAGACTAGTGGTTAAAACATGATCTCTGTATTCAGAAAGGCTGTATTGGAATAACCTAACGCCTCTATTCACATTGTGTGACCTTGAGAAGTTGCCTTTAAAAACTTTGTGCTTTAGTTTCCTCTTCTTCAAAACAAGGACAATAATGATCCCTATCTCATGGGGCCATTTTGAGGATTAAATGAGTTCATCTATGTAAGTACTTCCAAAAGCTATTGGTATGTAAAAGTGTTCAAGAAATGTCAGCACTTACTGTTATTATTATCATTATTAGACAAAGCCGTAGAGATACCTATGCTATCACTATCAGTCAGAAAGTGGGCAGCATGACTCTGGTGAATTAAAGAGCAGAGCAGACTATGGATGAGAGATTGCTATTAATAAGAAAAAGCAAGATACTTTTTTTTTTTTTTTCTTTTGAGATGGAATCTCGCTCTTTACCCAGGCCGGAGTGCAGTGGCGCTATCTCGGCTCACTGCAAGCTCCGCCCCGCTGGGTTCACGCCATTTTCCTGCCTCAGCCTCCCGAGTAGCTGGGACTACAAGCGCCCGCCACCGCGCCCGGCTAATTTTTTTTGTATTTTTAGTAGAGACGGGGTTTCACCGTGTTAGCCAGGATGGTCTCGATCTCCTGACCTCGTGAACCGCCCGCCTCGGCCTCCCAAAGTGTTGGGATTACAGGTGTGAGCCACTGCGCCCGGCCACAAAAGACATTTTTAATACCTTGCAAGACTATGGATAATTGGAGATTAGAAATAATATCCATAAAATATGTTTTTAGAATGTTTCTATGTGGTGAATGATACAGAGCCTGTAATGATAACGACAATGACCAAATGATACATTTGGTCCAGAGCCTGTAAAAATAAACTTCTCTGATGATGTTTATTTGTCTTCAAAGCTACTAGGATTTATTTCTGTATTTCCTTTTGTCATAGGTTGGGCTTCCTGGAAATTAATCCTGAGATTAGGATTCTTGTTCAAGTGATTTCTTACAGAAAGGGAAGCAGTAGGAGCAGAACAGGTCAGAGAGGTGGTTTCAGAGGCTAGTTTCATCCTGAGACCACGGTGGGGTACTCTGAGTGAAAATTATACAAATAAGTTAGTTCCATGTTGAGCAAAGGACCCAGCCAGTCAGCACAGGTCTGAGTGAGAAATAGCCTTCTAGGCGAGACAGCTTCAGTTTTGCAAGTCTTGGGAGAAGGGGGTGGTTGTGAGTTGATACCAGCTGATGCACCTAGTGACTGGTACATGGGTGCACTAGGCACTAAAAGGGATCTGAGAAGGACACCAATACTATCCACTGTATGTATTTGAGTTCTTCTCTGTGTATTAGGGTCTTCTTATTCAGATTGCCCTCTTTCTCTCTAGACTGTACCATGAACCCAAAGAAAAAGCCTTCTGCTGCTATACTAGGCTTCTTCGGCTGTGTATTAAGGTCATACGTATACATAATACTGTGTAATCTGATGTTCTCTCTGGTTCCACTAATCTGAAGGATACAAAAAGGAAACAATGGCATTAACAACAGCAACAAAAAACTCCCTTGCTCAACTCTACCAGCACTTGTTCCCAACCCCTCCTTCCTGGGTCTAGGGTACCTCATGCTGAGGAAGCATAACTTCTCGCTTCTTCTGCCTTGATGTGCCCAACATTTCTTCCTATGCTATTTCTGTTTTTCTATTGGCAGCCTGACTCAGGTCATTTCTACCACTTCTTTCTGATCTTAATGTGGCTGTTACTATACTTACTGTTTCTCTTAACAGGCATTATACCAAACTGGGTGGAAATGTCTCTTTCTGCGCATACATTCTATAAAAGATTTTATTCATACAATTGTCATGATGAAATGCTGCCCTGTGTCATCAGTCTCCCTGATGTATGGGTATGAGCAGCTAACATTTATTGAGCTCTTACTAAGTGTAAGGCATGGAGTTACCACTTTTAAGGATAATCTCATTTATTTCTCACAAGAACCCAATAAGATAAGCACTCTCATAACATTCATTGTCTAGCTGAGAAAATGAAAAGATCATAGAGAGAGAGAGAGGGAGAGATAATTAATTAAGACAAAATAGCTTGGAAGTATAAAACCTGAGATTCAAACTTTAGGATTGTCTGTCTCAGAATCCACACCTTAAAAGAATCTAAAAAATATACACTGCCTCTTTTTTTATTTTTCTTTTCTTTTCTTTTTTTTCTCTTTTATTACAGGCTTTTCCTCCTCTGTGCTCATGCGTAGATTGTAGAGGGTAGAAAGCAATCTGAATGGAATAATTGTAATCAAAACACAACATGCCAATCTAAAACACTATCATTGGACCAACTCCCCTTATGGTTCAAAGTCAATTTCTTCCCAGTTTTAAGCTTCACCTAAAAGTTTTAAAGTTGACTCTTATTATTGGATTGTTAAAGAGTCTTAAACCTGCAAGCCAGTTGTTAGCCTGAAGAAATAAGAAGCTCTCTTATAAACAGTCCCCTGTTTGACCTTCCTTCCAATTCTTCAAATTTAATACTTCCCAACTCACTTGTCTTCTGTATCCCTGCTATATTTCATATTAGTATTTTTTTTTTTGAGACAGAGTCTTGCTCTGTTGGCCAGGCTGGAGTGCAGTGGCACGATCTCAGCTCACTGCAACCTCCTTCTCCCGCGCTCAAGCAATTCTCCTGCCTCAGCCTCCTGAGTAGCTGAAATTACAGGCATGTGCCACCACGCCCAGCTAATTTTTGTATTTTTAGTAGAGACGGGGTTTCACCGTGTTGCCCAGGCTGGTCTCAAACTCCTGACCTCAGATAATCCGCTTGCCTCAGCCCCCCAATGTGCTGGGATTACAGGCATGAGCCACTGTGCCCAGCCCATATTCATTTCTTAACATGTACTCTTACGTCAGTAATTGTGTCAGTAATTATTTCAAAGATATGCTATAAGGATCTGCTCATAGAAAAATGATCCAACAAGGCAGCACAGAGATATAGCAGAAGTGAAAAACAATGAAAAGACTACATAATAAATATAACTCTGCATAAACATTGACTTTATAAAACAATATAAACAATGTTTTATAGAGTTAAACATACTTTTTAATAATAACACAAAAAGCAGGAATGGTATAAATCATGTTAATATGTTCCAATGTGTTTGCATTGTCTAAGAAATGCTGAGTATTAGTTTTTATTAGACTTTAATAAGTCAGCAATGTAACCATTAGAGTAACCACTAAAAGAATAAAAGAGTAATATACAATTATCAGTCTAACAAGGCAGATAATATAAATAATAAGAAAATAATCTGACAGAAGGCAAGAAAAGAAAAAAGCACAACAGAGGTGGGTAAATAGAATGCAGAGAGTAATGTGGCAGATTTGAACTCAAATATAATGGTACTTACAGTAAATGTAAATAGACCGAAAACTCTAGCAAAGATTTTCAGACTGGATTTAAAAAAAAATTTAAAAACCTATGCTGCTTACAAAAGACTTTTCTTAAGTTGAAATAAAAGACCAAAAGTAAAAGGATGAAAAAAAAAATAGTATTCAAAAACTAAAAGAAAGCTCATATAGTTATACTAATAGTGGCAAGAAGCATTACTGCCAATAAAGAGGAATATTTCATAATTAAAGCTTTGATTCACTAGAATGATACGGCAGTTCTAGATTTTTATGTACCTACTAACATTGTCTTTCTCTATGTAAAACAAAAACACATAAAACACAAATTCACAGCCATAATTGGAGATTTTAACACATATCTCTTTGTAACTAATAAAACAGATTAGAAATCAATAAAGATATAGAAGATTTGAACATTACTAACAAAGTTGATCTAACTAACAGATTAATAAACTTACATCTAAATTATAGAATTCACATTCTTTTCAAGTTCACATAGAATGTTTAACACAATTGATCGTATGCTGGGCCAGGCAAGTCTTCACATTCTTCAAAGTACTAAAATAATATAACAGCAGAAAGAAAACCAGAAAATCCTCACAGATTTGGAAATTAAGTAATAATCTTCTTTAAAAAAACTTATATCTCAAAGAAGAAATCACAGTAGCAATTTAGAAAATATTTTAAAGTGAGTGTAATGAATTACTTTATTTCAAAACTTTGGGGATGTAGCCAACCCCGCACTTACAAGAAAATTGATAGAGAAGAAAAAAGACTGAAAAATCAATAACCTAATTGCATCAATAACTCTTTGTATCTCAAGAACAATGAGTGCATATGGTACTCAGATCTTGGTTTCTAAATTCCATTCCTCATTAAAAGGAACCAGAGCTCCTTCTTCTTATAAAAGTGCTTGATTGCTGGTTTGGGGTGGGACAAGGTGAATCTGGGATATTCTGTTATGTCTGAAAGCAAAGAAATTCTCTAAAACTAGTGGGATTCAAAAGAGCAATGTTGTTCTTGAAGAGGCTTATGGGTTATAAACAGTCATAAAAATGTCCTAAGTAATCTGATTGAGAGAGCAACAGGGAGAGAGAGAGAGAGAAGCAATAACGGAAATAGAAAACCTTATACAGTTGGCCCTCCATATCTGTGGGTTCCACATTTGTAGATTCAACAAACGACAGATCAAAAAAGTTTGCCAAAGTTCCAAAAGGCAAAACTTGATTTTACTATGAAGTAAATTCACAAATGAAGTGATGTGATGTATTGGGAATTCTAAGTAATCTAGCAATAATTTAAAGTGTATGGGATGATGTTCATAGGTTATATGCCAATACTATGTCATTTTACATAAGGGACTTGAGCATCCTCTGATTGGTTCCTAGAACCAATCCCCCATGTATACCATGGGGATAACTGTGTTTACAAAATATACTGCTTCATAAATATAGAAAAAATCACAGAATGAGAAACATAACCTATCTTTCAATTGCAATGTAATAACTAATGCAGGCAAGAATCATCAATCAATGGTAAAGCCATTAGGTGAAAAGTTGTTGGAGAACAAGATATTTGAAACTCTCAAAATATTAGTCTACAGATGACATCAATTACAAAGCCATAGCTTTTACAATAAAATAATCACAGTCATCTTCTAAAACAAGTGATCAAATTTAGACTCACCAAAAGTTGGACAACCTGATAAGAGCCTCAAGCTTTGAAGCAATAAAAAGTGCACATCATTGCCTATGACGTATCCTTGCCAAGAAATTATCTAAGTTGAATCTAATCATGTGAAAAGCACTCAGACAAATCCAAAATAAGGGACATTCTATAAGACAGCCAGCCTGAACTCCTAAATAGAACAGTCAATGTCAGGACAAAGGGAAGGCTACTGTTCTAGATTAAAAGAGACTAAAGAGACCAAAAACCAAATGTAATGTGTAAACTTCACTGGATCGTAGATTTGGGGGAAAAAATCTATAAAAGGCTTTTTTAGAGAAAATTAGAAGAGATTTTATATGGATTGTATATTGATTATATAGAATTAACTGTTAATTTTCTTACAGATAAAAATAGTTGTATTTGTTTTCTATTGGTGCTATTACAGATCGTCCCAAACTTGGTTTAAAACAACACAAATTTATTTTATAGTTCTGTAGGTTGGAAATTTGACATGGGTCACGCTGAGCTAATATGAAAGTATTGACAGGGCTGTCTTAGTTTCTAAGGGCTCACAGGGAGAATTAATCTCCTTGCCTCTTTGAGCTTTCAAATGCCACCAACATTTCGGCTTTGGGGCTCCCTTTATCCGTCTTCTTAGTTAGCAGTGTTGCATCTCTCCAATCATTCTTCCATAGTCACATCTCCCTCTGGCCACATCAGAGACAAGTCTTTTAATTTAAAGAAACCATGTAATTAGATTGGGTCCACCTGGTTTCAGGATGTCAAGGGTTGGGCAACAACTGCTTTTTTTCCCCCCATCTCAAGGTACTTAATTTAGTTACAACTGCAAACTTCCTTTTACCATATAGGGTAACTATTAAGAAGTTCTGGGTATTAGATTGTAAAATCTTTGAGGGAGAAGACAAACTACAAAGGTATTGTGGTTATTTAGAAAATTGTTTTTATTTATAGAACATGCATGTTTAATGATTTAGGGGTAAAGCTGCAACTTAAATTTGTATGTGTGTGCATGTATATGTGTTATATATGTTAAACACACACATATACACATACAGATAACCCAGTGTAGCAAAATCCTAATAACAGTTGAATCTAGAAAGAGGGTTTGTGGTTGTTTTTGTTCTGTTCTTTCAACTTTTCTGTGGGTTTAAAATTTGTCTAAAGAGGAACGGACGTATGTTGTTGAACTTCTTTAGTTCCCAGACAATACAGGAAACATGGGCTTTCAAGCGTGTATTAATGGCAGCAGTGGCCCATCTAGAGCGGCCACTGCCAAGACACCGGCTGCAACAGGGAGGCGCGGCCAGGGCACTCCATGGAGCAGGCAGGAGCCCCTCCCTCCCTGGGTGCCGCTGGAGCCACTCTGCCACGGCTCTGGACCCTGGCGTCTCTGTGCTCTTGGGGGCCCAGGAAGGCCCCCTTGCCCCCTGCAGGCTCAGAAGTGCCTGCTCCCGCTGCCTGGCTTCTTGTCGCCGTTGGCGCCCACACCGATCTCAGAGGTGAGGCTGGGACTGCACACTCCACGGAACCACCTGGAGCAGGGAACAAGCAGGAGCCCCGCCCCTTCCGAGCTGGTAGGGCAGGACCCAGGTGCAGCTGCAGCCGCCCTCTTAGGCACAGGACTCGGGCATCTCTGTAGTCTGCACCTTTGGGGGCCCAGGAAGGACCCCTGTCCCCGCAGGCTCGAGGGTATCCGTTCCCTCCGCCTGACCTCTTCCTGCTTAGGACACCTGCTCCCATGTCAGAGTGGGGCGGAGCCTGGACACTGTCACAGTCCAGCCAGGTGTGCCCATGCTTAGGGCAATGCTGACACCCCAGGCTGACACCCCAGCCCCCTGTCACCTTCTCCCCCTCCAGACTTTGGGCACTCGCAAGTGTGAAAGGGGAAGCCTAGAGGAAGCTGAGGGTGGTTCCGGAACTGGCCTGCAGGTGCCCCTTAGTGCCAGCAGCCTGGGTACCATGAATAGCCGCAGGAGGCAGTCTCCTGGGTGGAAGAGGGCGGGTCCCGGGCAAGGGAGGGCCTGAAGACTGGGGCCATGCTGTCAGACCCGCAGACAGGAATGGGAGCTTGTGGTACATTTTCCAGGCCCACCCATGGCACCCCATGAACCAATCAGCACGCGCTTCTTCCCCCTCTGAGGCCCATAAAAGTTCCAATCTCAGCCAGAGCAAAGAAGAGGACACAGAGATGCTGGAACGACCAGGTGCACACAGGAGCTACCCTCCCTACTGAAAGCTGCAGACGACCTGCCTGCCAAGTGGAGCCACCCACTCTAGTGCCTCCTCTCGCTGAGAGCTGCAGACAACAAGATGACCAGCAACAGAGAGGAGCTACCTTGTCTGCTGGTAGCTGAACACTTGTGGGAACGACCTGCCTACAGAGAGGAGCTACCCTTTCTGGCAGGAGCTTAATATTCGTTGGTACACCCTGGCTGTGGAGAGAAGCTGCCTCCAGCAGGTCTTCTCTGAGCTGTTCTATGGCTCAATAAATCTCCTGTTTGTCTTGCTCACCCTCCACTTTCTTCCTGGTCGCAGGACAATAACTCAGGACCCATTGAACGGTGAGGCTAAAAGAGCTGCTGTAACACAAACAGGGCTGAATCATGTCCCTTGCTCACAACGTTGTGGATGAAGAGAAGGAAAGAAGAGCTATGGCCCTCCTGTGAGCCCAGACCTGGGAGTTCCCGAGACAGGGCTGTGACTCCTTTTGGGGCCCTGCAGTTCTTGGCCTCTCCAAATTTACAGGCGCCACCCCATTCCTGGTGCCAGCCAGGGAAGCTGCTTGCAGTGCACCTGGTTCAGCCACAGCCTCACAGAGAGCTGGCGCCCGTGCCGGCACCTGGAGCTGCCCACCCCATGGCAGCAGCCAGCATGTCTGTGCAATGCCCGGACCCCACACTCGCTCACACACCCCTCTCACTGCTCCACGTCTGACTCATCCCTTGGAGGCGTGGGATCCAGGCCAGTACCACGAGCTAAGCGCAGCCTGCCAGGCCGAGTGGGTGGAACGAGCCTA